>NC_000001.11:69250804-69553835 GCF_000001405.40 Homo sapiens
TCTCCGTTATAGCACTTACCATGTTCTATGTGTAGCAGGATGTTGTACCTAAGTCAGATTCCGTGCGTTATTAATGGGTTGATGGACACAATTTGCATATTTTGGATGAGACTTTTAGTTTTTTGGCTAAAGGAGAAGGAAATGTTGTGTTTTTGTTTCACTGGTTGTTTCAAGCTCTTGAGAGATAAACAGAAATGGAAAATAATGGAGCATATTTCCCTGCCTAATTCCTTGAATAGGTTGTTGACTTTTTAGAGGGAAGAGTGACAGTCATGGCTGGAGACTGTTTTTCTGAAAGTCTGTGAGACCCTGGGCATTGATGGCTCTGTTTCAGACACCATATTGATTAAACTCAACTAAGACCAAAGCAGGGGCAATTTTCCTACCCCACTCTGGCACAGAAAAGCAGAGTGGCTTAGGAACAACATCAACAGTAACCACAGTGAAGTTCCCACCAGCAATTTTATAAGAACAGGAGAATGTTATTCCTCTCCTCCTGTGGCTTGCTTTATCAATGTGTCTACGATAAAGTCCCTGCAGCTGATAGATCAGTGTATGTACTAGAAGAACCACGCACTGGCTATTTCTAGGAATCTTTGGAGATGTTTCAAAGGAGGCAGAACAGTTGAGTGGCCAGGTGGGTGAAAGAGCAGGGCTGGAAATTCGACGGACACGGAGTTACATATTCTATGGAGCATTAAAGGTTAGCACACAGCTGGGTAGCTTTCATTGCCTATGCGATTACTATCACAATTGGTTTCTTGCATATCTATATATTCTTATATGTTGTGCACTTCTTCTGTTCAGAAACAATGTCTTGATAACCAAAGTTGTGCACTTTATCCAGTAGGCACTCCATGCATGAGTGTTCAATGAAAAAAATGAATGGAAATAAACTAAATCAAAGCACAGAGGTGATCGTTGCTTTGAGCAAGTATTGTTTACAATCACACATACTATTCTTTATGTAGCATGAATCCTTGTAAAGTTACCTAGAATCATGAAACAGCAACATGAAACTGAGAAAGCTGCTAGACTTGAACATCTTACCAAAGCAAAGCAACCCACACTATTCTACATTCATATTTTGTAAGCCACATAATTTTCTCCACTATTAAATGGCGTTTCACCCCCAGAATAAGAGTAGTATAATAGTTAAAAGTGCAGTTTAGAGTAAAATTGCCTGGGTTGAATATTCAGTCTGCTACTCTCAAGCCATGTGACAATGGCTCTCTATAATTCAATTATCTCATTTGTAAAACAGTAAGAATAATAGTACCTACCTTATAGGACTACTATGCGTATTAAATAGTTATAATTAAAGTGTTGATAACAGTTTTGGCACATGGTAAGCATTCATCAGACATTAGCCAGAGTAGATATTGGTTTACTGAATGCTATTTCACTTAGTAAGGTCTTGCCTTGGCCCAAAAGGTAGTGATTTTAGCCACTTACTCAGGTCAGATTTTCTATACATCAGTTTCATTTTTGTAATATTGAGGCTAGGACTGAATGGACAGATTGAACATTGGCAATAGCACATGTTAAAAATTTGAGGTAGAAAGGTGTTTTAAAATACCTATTTGCACTGGAGCCACATTTCCTGTTCTGTGGAGGGAAAATAAAAGCCAAATGCTTTTTCAAACTTTATCCTTGGCCTTTTCTCTTTTATTTTAACATTGCCCCAACCACTCATGATTATTGAACTCCTGTGGAGAGCCTGGTTTCCTAGTGATACGTGTACTCACAGAGTTGCAAGCCCATAAATTGACCTATCAGTAGGTGAGAACAACTCATTCCAATTTGACCATTACTGAGTCCTAGAGAGTTGCAATTAGAACTCTAACAATTGCTATATGAGAGAACTCCCAGGGAAAAGTTTACAGCAAAGGAGCACAGAGATATTTAGGAAACATGTGGAGTCATAATGAAAAATAAGAATTTGTGTTGAGAAAATGCATATTAAATAAGGAGAACAGTTTCTGCTCGCTGGAGATGTGCCCATTTCTTTTGCGGGTAGCATGGGATGCTGTTTTGCCCTTGATGGATCATGTTTTAGTAATTGCAGTGTCAGTCCACTTGAAACACCTTGCCGTGAGTCAGAGATGACTATGAACTCGGCAGAAGTCATGGTGTTCTGAAAAGTCAGGCATGATAAACACAGGTTTTGTAGAAGACTGGGGAGGTGTGGAAGTTAGATTTCAAAGGAGGCCAAATAAGTGTGCTCAGGTTTGCAAGTGAAATTGTTGTCAGTCACTTTTGTGCATTGCCTTTTTCTCTGCAGAACATGAATGCCAAGAGAGATAATCCAAATTCCTATTTTTTGTTATACGTCAGCCTTGTTTGCCGTATTATTGAGACTGCAATTTATCTTCATCAGGCTGTATTTACAGTAGTACCATGTGTTGCAAAATATAGCAGGTTTTTATTATTATTGGTTTTATGATGAGACCATATTGAAAAGGGGCCCTTAAGAAACTTGAACACTTGGAAAGAGATATTTGCCGTTTGCTGCATGACTAGTTTTCTTTCTCTCTAATTTCTCATCACATTACTTCAACATTTTCAAGCCTTCAGTGTTTTGCCATTTCCCTTAGGAAATGTTGTGAAGATAAAATACAGGAAAAGTTGCAAGATAAAATACAGGGCACCCAGTTAAATTTGAATTTCAAATAAACAATGAATACTTTTTCAGTATAAGTATGCCCCATATATTGCAAGTGTTATATGACACATACTTGTACCAAAAAAATTTTTGTTTTTTATCTCAAATTCAAATTAAACTGGTAATCTTATATTTTTATTTGCTTAATCTGGCAAACCTGCCTTTGGACAAAAGTCTTAAATCCATAGCTACATAGAATACAGTGTTTCTCCTGTATACAGTTCCAATTTCATTAAAAGCCACTCACACTCCACCTTTTGTGTTCCAACCATATTCAGCTTAGTTCATTAAATATACAGTCACTTGGCTCACAATGATGTTTCAATCAATGGAAGACCCTATATATGATGGTGGTGCCGTAAGATTAAAATGGAGCTGAAAAATTCCTATCACATAATGGCACCATAGCCATCCTAATGTTATAGAGCCATGCATTACTCATGTGTTTGTGGTGATGCTAGTGTAAATGAACTTACTGCACTGCCAATCATATAAAAGTATAGCACATGGCACATACAATTATCTTCAGTATATAATACTGGGTAATGATAATAAATGACTATGTTACTTGTTTATGTATTTACTGTACTATACTCTTTATCATTATTTTACTATGATCCTTCTACTTATTAAAAAAAAGTTAACTGCAAAACAGCCTCAGGCAGGTCCTTCAGGAGGTATTCCAGAAGAAAGTATTATTATCATAGGAGATGACAGCTCCATGTGTGTTATTGTTCCTGATGACCTTCCAGTGGGATAAGATATGGAGGTGGAAGGCAGTGATATTGATGATCCTGACATGGTATAGGCCTAGACAAATGTGTGTGTTTGTGCCTTAGTTTTTTTTAAGTTTAAAAAATAAATAAAAAATTTTTAAAATAGGAAAAAGCTTATAGAGTAAGAATATAAAGAAAAATTTTTTGTACAGCCATACAATATTTGTGTTTTAAGCTTAGTGTTATACAAAAGAGTTAAGAAGTTTAAAAAATTAAAAAGTTTATAAAAGTGAAAAGTTACAGTAAGGTAAGCTTAATTTATTGAAGAAAGAAAAAACATTTTAAATAAATTTAGCAAAGTCTAAAGTAAACAGTGTTTACAAAGTCTGCAGTAGTATACAATAAGTAATGTCCTAGGCCTTCACATTCATTTACAATTCACTCACTGACTGACAGAGAGATTTCCAGTCCTGCAAGCTCCAGTCATGTATGTGTTCCATACAAGTATACCTTTTTTTTAATCTTTTGTACCACAATTTTAGTGTACCTTTTCTATGCTTAGATATGTTTAGATACACAAATATTTCCTAGACTACAGGTTTGTAGTCTAGGAGCAATAAGCTATACTATATAGCATAGGTGTGTAGCAGGCTATACCATGTAGGTTTGTGTAAGTACAGTCTATGATGTTTGCGCAAGTACTAAATTGCCCAGTGATGCATTTCTCAGAATATATTCCTGTCCTTAGGTAACTCATGATTGTATTATATGTTCTCTGTGCCATGCCTTTACAATGCTATCCTCTTAGCCTAGACAATTCCTACTTCCACCACCAACAACCTATTTATTTGCCCAGCCAACTGATATTTGTTCAAATCTTTGAAAGTTTCATTAGGAAGACCAATTTTTCAGTCTTGTCCTAGTTAGGGTTTTAGTGGAATAATAAACCTACCAGCACTTTGGGAGGCCAAGGCGGGTGGATCACTTGATGTCAGGAGTTTGAGACCAGCCTGGTCAACATGGTGAAAATCTGTCTCCACTGAAAATACAAAAATTAGCTGGGCATGGTGGTGCATGCCTATAATCCCAGCTACTTGGTTGGGAGGCTGAGGTAGGAGAATCACTTGAACCTGGGAGGTGGAGGTTGCAGTGAGCTAAGATGGCGCCACTCTACTCCAGTCTGGGCAACAGAGTGGGACTCCATCTCAAAAACAAATAAACAAAAAAACTCTGTGTTGACCTCTTAAATTTGGATTCAGTTGAGAAATAAGGCATAGAGGACAAACAGAAAGAATTCAAAATTGACTAAAGAATATGATTATAAATTTGCAGCCAGATAGACCTCTACTTTCCTTGAATTTGACCTAATCTCCCAAATTGGAGGCCTTAAGAGGCAAAACAAAAAGTCTGAGTTGAGTGTTTTCTCCCTAACTGATGAGTCAGATAAGTCACTCTTCCTTCCTTGGGGCTGGAGAGAAACTTGGAGGCTTTCTGCTCTAGCTTTCCTTTGAAGGGAGTTGAGTGGAAATTATCTCTGCTCTCCACTCTGACTTTGAAAAATTGGGAATGTGAAATAAGTGCGTATCCACCAGATAAAAATCTGGCCACCAGATTTTTATTCTCTTAATAAGATTATCCATTAGGTCTATGGTCAACTATTGGTGTGGCCAGTTCATTAGTGGGAGGTAAGGATGGTCATGCTATTACCTTCATGAAGTCACTTCACCATATAGATGGCTGATCTTTTGTGATTCTTCCAGGCAACTGGTGGGCAGGGTAGCTTTGCCCTCTAGAAGACCCTGAAATGGGTCAGAATTGAATTAACTTGGAATTCCTTCTGAATCCTGAGTAGAGCATACATTCTTTATTTAATTTTACATCCTGATTTATATCTAGCCATGTTGTCTAGGAATAATCCTAAAAAATGTAAATTTGAATAAAATCATCTATTATGAAGAACATGAGTAAAAAAGGAAGTCCAATAATGACATCTCTTTTTCTAAATGTTAAGACCTAACAAAGTGCAAAATACGCTTAGTCATGATCAGTCACTTTCTTCTTCTGCTTAATCTTAACACAGAGGCATCCCCAGTTTGAGAACTGTGTGGAGTTGGGATTGGGTAGATAGGCACCTGGTCTATCTTCTGCTAAATAGTATAGTTTCTGAGGCAGGCTCACAGTGGAAATAATCCAGACCAAACCCTCTCATAGGCCATGATTTTTCTAATATTTTGACACAAAAGACTGTTATAACATCAACCTCACCTTATAAAATTAAAAACTCAAGTCAAATCTAGCCTCTATAGAAATATTGTTCCCAAAACCCAGTACTCTATATTATACAGGTCCATGAAACTGTTAATGGAAATGAGAACAGATATTCAGTAATTGAGGGAAAGAGGAGACATACAGGGAAATATTATCTTTGAGTCTGACCAGGTTGCATGCAGCTCATGTCAGTTACAGGAAGGCTACAGACCATAAAAATTAAACTTAAGAAAAATCTCCCATAAGCTCAATTGTAGCACTATGTTTGCCATTTAGAGAGAGAAAGTTGGGGAAGGATGCACTCCTGCAAACCATCTCAACTCTCAGAGAATAGCACTTGAGACATTCCTGCCCTCTTTCAAAGACATTGGAACTGGACATAAGTGGCAGCTTCAGCCATCAAATCTTATTAGACATGCCTTTCCTTCCCATCTACCATATGCAAAATCTATTTGCATTTTATTCTAAATGCCTAGCACTTAGGAGTGGGGGGTTAAGTTGTATGTTTTGTCTAGTAATATAGACTCTACTCTTTTCTTATGAGCTGGCATTTTTGTCTTGTGCCTTAGCAGTCATTGCCACTGCCTCTTGCTGTTAAAGTCCTTGACACTTGAAACCTGTCTTCTTCACTTTTGTTTATGCTGGGAAATCACATGCAGCTTCCTGCATTGAAAATGCTGTTGGTGCTTCTGAACCCTGAGCGCCCTGGGCCCAGTGAGCACCAAGATGGCTGCCATTTTCCACTTAATGTCTTACCTTTCCAGGCTCCCTTCAGAGAAGCAACCCCAGTCTTCTTTCTAAAACCCCAACTGTCTTTTTCATTCTTTATATTTCATCATCCTTACCTACCCAGAGATAATACAACTATCATGCTTTTAATACATTTAGATTGTTTTGAATTTTTATTTTTTCTAGTGTTACTGTTCTAATAGTCAGAAATAAAAAATAAAAATATTTTATGATAATTTTGTGACAATTTATCCCTCCTTGATTTGCTTGACAAGCTTGACTTCTAAAGTCTAAATATTCTGAATACATTTCTTCTCAGCTCATGGGTTTGCAAAAAATTCATGGAATTGTTTCTCCACATCAATCCAAGAAGAGCCCACATTCCTTTCAAGATATTAACTAATTGTTACTTAACAGAAATTAACACACTTCTGTGGTCAATATCATAGTATAAGTCTCCAATTTAAAGCCATAGTCAAGGCTTATGTAACCAACAAATCAGAGCGCTAACCTAAGACAACTTGGTAGAGGGGATGATGACCCAGGAGCTTATGGACAACCTAAATGAATCCTAGAATTTAGATAGGATATGTTTCCCAGTTAGCCCTGTGCCATGATCAAAGCTACATAAAGAACAGAATTTGGAGCTCCTGAACCTACATTCCTTCCCTGTACCTGACACAAACACATCAGTTTTCAGTGATCCTCAATGCACTTAGCTGCCTTTAGAATTTAAAAGTTCAGTCTATAATCTTAACTGAGAAATTCAGTAAATGCAGGAAAAAAGTTGTTCTGCCTACCAAGATGTCAAAAAGCCCGTGTATCGAAGCTCTGCCTATCTTAAGGTGCTGTTTAGGTAGAATGATACTCTTTCCTCTATTATGTGATCCTTTAGTTGTTCCTTCTTAAAAAAAATCCAAGTCAGTCACAAAGATCCCCACAGTCCCAGCTTACAATCTCCCAAGGGTCACCATCCTCAGTCACCAAGGGCAAGGCCCCACATGGTTAAATTGACTAATTCCCTGCTATATTTCAATGCCTCTTCAGTTTAAGCCCAAGTTCTCAATTTCTCTATTTGCCAGTGGGTTAATTTGATTCTTAAATGCAAGTTTTTGGCAACTATTTCTTTGATATCTGACAAAGGCATCAAGATGAAGGGCTTTAAGGGATATTGATAAATAACATTTATTTTCTCTTCTGGGTTGAGAATTATTGCAAAATAAGGCCAGATGGAGGAATATAGAAATGTCAGCTCAATTTTAGTTCCATAAAAATGATTAGAAAATATGATTTAGCTCTGATGCTGATGCCTGAATTGAACCAACCCTTCACCATTTCTGGCTTTCTCCCAGCAGGGCCAGACAGTCTGTGCTGAACTAACCAATTAGAGAAGTGGTGATCATGGGAAACCCTCCCTGGAGGTTTTTTATTCAAAAGAGAGAACCAGGGAGGTTGAGCATGCGCTGCCTGACCCCACTGCACTGCACCATCCAGTCAGCCATTCCTTTGTTGGGGAAGATGTGAGTGAGGGTGTAGAGAGAAAATAAAAATCAAAGGAGTAGAGAATTAAAGTCCTGGCCCCAACTCCCCTGATAAAGTCAACGTTCCCTGTTATGAAAGTTCTAGCAACTCTATTTCTTATGTTATCTGTCTTCAAAGATATAACGTCCTTGAAGGTAGGGATTCTGTTTGCTTTGTTTGTCACTATATCCTTGACAACCAGCTGGCACTCAGTAAATATTTGCAGAATGAATAAAAGATTGCATGGGTTCACTAGTGTGGAATTCTGGGAGAAACTTAGGTTGCAGCAACTGGCAATGGTATTACCTGGAGACCCAGATATAAGACATTCTTTCTGCTCTCTTTCTGCACAGGAGAAAATAGCATGACTGTGATATAAGGATATTTACCATGTCATTGTCCCCTCTGCATCCTATTTCTGGCATTGCAGAGTATCAGTGCATAGCCCCAGGGACCCATCAGTCATTCTCTTCCTATGCAGTGGCAGCAGGATAATATTCTAGTTATCTGTCTCCTGAGACAACTGAGTAGTTCCAAGAAACCTCCTCACAGAATGACAAGTTAACTGAATATCTTCAATTAAAGAACGTTGTATACAATGTTTTTTATTTTATTTTTCTTAAACTCTATTTTTAATGTAAAGCTGTAACTCAAAAGCTTTCATATTAGTGACCAAATAGTTCAGAAACTAGTTTTTCAATATGTATAAGCATTTTTAAGAGAAATGGTATTGATCACAAAGCTTCCTTCTTTGCTATAATTCTGTGTGGAAATGATGGCAAGGAGGACATATGGGGAAAAAATAACTCCTTATATCCTTTCAAAAGACTGGAAGTGAAATCCTCAATGGAAAAAAATTAAGTAGATCCTACATAAAATTGGATGGAGGCCATTCACTCAATCCTATCCATCAGCTGGTATTATATAATCAGTATTCACTGAGGAGTGGGCTTCCTTGGATAATAATTACTTTCAATTATAAAGTACTCACTGTATATGCCAGACATGGTGCATTATGCTTACTACACAAGACGTCAATCATCCTATATAAACTTTGAATCAGATACTATGATTCTCATTGTAAAGATGGGAAAACAGAGGTTTAAAGAGGTCACCTAAAGAACTCAAGTTTACAAAACCAATAATATGCAGCAGGATTAATAACACGAGTCTGTCTCTTTCTGAAGCCCATACTCATTACTGATAAACTACAATGCACCCAAGATACTTCAAAGAGAAAAATAAGTATAGCATATTTGAACTGGCTATAAATTAGTGTTGAAAGGAGAAAGCCAAAAGATGGGGCACCAAAAGTGTTTAAAGGATTCTATCCTACTTGCCTGGTAGGGGTGAATTCCAGTAGAAATAAAAAGTGTGCAATTGTTAAAGTTTCCTCTGCCATAAGATCCTCAGCAAACAGGCATGGAGGGAATAGAAGGCTGTACAAAGATGTGGAGCAGAGCATAATATTGAAGGACTTGTGAGGACTGGACTGGATGAAATGAGAGCCCAGAACTCTAAGTAGAAATAGTCCTAAAAAAGTTATCCACCTACCTCATGTAGCAGATGTCCAGAACAGGGGGCTCCTGCTTTAGAATGCAGTCTGGTCCTGTGGGCCATCCTTGGTAATCAAGGCACTTTTTTAAAACTTTTACGTTCAGGGATACAAGTTCAGATTTGTTACATAGGTAAATCAATCTACATGCCCATCAGTGATAGGCTAAAGAAAGTGTGGTACATATACACCATGGAATACTAAGCAACTGTAAAGAAGAACAAGATCATGTCATTTGTAGGGACATGGATGGAGCTGAAGGCCATTATCCTTAGCAAACTAACACAGGAACAGAAAATCAAATACCACATGTGCTCACTTATAAGTAGAAGCTAACTGATGAGAACACATGGACACCCAGAGGGGAACAACATACACTGGGGCCTTTCAGAGGGTGGAGGGGGAAGGAGGGAGAGGATCAGGAAAAATAATGAATGGGTACTAGGCTTAATACCTGGGTGATAAAATAATCTGTGCAACAATCATGGCATGTTGATAGCAGGGAAGGTTGAGCAGGGGCAGCTCATTTGAGAGGTTTTTAAGTTTAAAACACAATGTTTCTGAGATTCCATCATAAGTACTATTTGTTAATAGAGTATGTACGTACTACATACTAGTAGCACATCTAACCTCCACAAAATAAAACTTGTCCTTCTTTTGGATGGATATATATTGATGTATATGTGTATACACATATAGTCCTTAGCTCTTGAGAAAGTTTAAAGCACACAGAACTATGCTTGTGTTTCTAAATTTCTTCTGAATTTCTCTTTTAAGCCTAAGTTGCAGTTTAATTACTTTACATTGCCATAAAAGGCAGACTGAATCCAGTCTATGCACTTGACAATAACAGCCTATAAAACTATAGATGAACCAGAGATCTATCCTAAGGAGACAAAATGCTAGCTAAAGCTTAGATTTTTAAAAAATTAAATATATGGCTTCTGAGAGGACTGCATTTTTTTTCAAAAGAGTCATTTTCAGAACATCACAGTTAAGACAGGCATTAGTATAACCTCCGATCAAATTAAAAAATGCTTTGTACAGTGTCTTGAGAAGTAGTCATATAGATCCTTAAACACTGAAACCCCTGCTGGATAGGGAAATAATCAACTCCTCAAACAGCCATTTTCTTTTGGAGCTGTGCTGATCACTATAAAATTCTTATATCAATTTGATTTGAAAGATTCCTTTATAAGTTAGGATAGTGAAACTGGAAAAGACTTTAAAATTCACTTGGCAAAAACTCTTTTTTTATAATTAGTTCATCAATTCACTCTAGGAAGAAGCACTGTGAATCTGCTATGTGCCCCATATTGTTCTTAGAATGAGGAATATAGCAATGACTGCAATAAACAGAGGTCCCTAATCTATGGAACATATTCCTTTTAAATTAACTTGTTCAAAGTTACACTGAATTGGAGGGAAATGAAACAAACTTTGCATGCACTATGCTACATACATATGTTGTCTCCTTTATTCAGACTGCCTTCCCCTCCTTCATTCCCCCATCATGTTCTACTAGTCATCAAAACATTGTCACCCATATTTTCAAGATCAGTCTCCTATATTTTCCCAAAGTCCTTTGTTTATAATGATGATGTGAAGTAACAGCAAAGGCTCTAAGATGTGTTTGAATTCTTGACATAGAACTTGCTATTTGGAAATGATGTGATAGAAAAATGATTTTAAATGATTTTACAAGGATGATTTTAAGACTTTAGGTCTGCATGACTGAAAGAAAGAAGTTGGCATCAACTAAGATTTAGAATGCAATCAATAAAGCTGGTTGTGGAGGATGAGGAGGAGGCAGCAGTTTTTGATATAAGGCTGAGATACCTATTTGGCATTCAAGTGGAGATATCATGTTGGTTCTTAATTATAAGAAAGCTTGAGGGAAAGCAGTAGGAGAAGAGATGATCTTAGATGTGTATGTTTGTGTGTGCATGTGTGTGCATGGCATCAGCATATAGGTAACATTTAAAGCCATGAGTCTGTATAAGTTTACCAAGAGGCAAAGCCTAGGCCAAAAATGGAAGAGAATGGTTGGTGTTATGTTGTTTAAGAGAGAGAGAAAAGTGTCAAATGGTTATTTAGGAGAATGGAGACAGTGAACAGAGTAAGAAAACAGTATGATTTCCAGACAGCATTAAAGGCACACTTCAGATTCATCCTCATGAATCCAAAGGGAGACTAGTTAGTATCTGATTTTTGTTTCCCTCTGGCCACATTCTGTTGCATGAGTGCAGGTAAAGTATAGATGAAAGACTGAGTTTAACATTTCAGACATCCTTAAATACATCCTGCATGAACTCTAGCCGTCTGGGAAATATATGGATAACTAGCGTCAGATTTGCGTGTAAGAAGAAAATATATTGGTGGGTTACCCTTTACATGTAGAAGGTGCGACTCCAAGTACATGAGTTAAAAGGATACAATTAAATATGCACAGAGAAAAAAATGTACTCTGCATAGGAAATTACAAGTGTTTAGTAATGGAGAAAGTAGAAAGTGAAGAGGGTGCTTGTGAAAGAACAGATCAGCAACATGATGGGAACCAGAGTCTGACGAGGAGCACGGAGAAGGGAAAACTTCTGGTGGCCAGGCAGCAAGTAGATGGGATAAACAAAAATGACTGGTTTCCATTATCTTAAATATTTTAGGATAATACAACCCAGTTACTCTAAACATTTAATAAAGTCTGCCATACACACAAAAACCTGAATGAATGGGCAGAAAAATTAAAGGAAAATCAGAGATGAGAGAAGAAAACAGCCATGTTAAATGAGACATGAGTCAGAGATAAAAAGCAGCAAAAACTTAGAACAGGAAATATCCAGGAGGCCATAAACACACAGGGTTGTACAGGAGTTCGAGAAGGACATTAGACATAATGTTGAGTTTGTGGGTTCAGTTCTATTTTTTATTATGTTTTATTTTTTCTTTTTCTTTTTTCATGCATGCTTTATCTTTAAAATGTACATTTTAAACAATAGCAACATATCAGCTGATGTTTCAGTTAAATAATGATAATAGCCACCATTTTTGAATGCTTACTATGTGCCATGCATACCTACATATATGTCTACTATGAAATAACTTTTCTCATTACAACGCCTTGCAAAATAGGCATTATTAATTTTTGATGATACTGTTAATAAAACATCTATTTATGGCTGACTTTTTATCATTGATGTCTGCATTGCAGTTGATATAATTTATCATGTTTTGTGAAATGCTATTAAATTGCTGACATGTCTGCTTGATATCATCTTAAAATTTAAAAAACGTAGCAATATTCTCACTTTATAAGTGATAAAGCTAAAGTTCAAAAAGGTTAATTAACTTGTCCGATGTCCCACAAATCACTGTGCCAAGGATTCAAACTCATGTCTCTAGACTTCAAATTTCTGACTGTTTCCTCCTGTAAATTCTGATTATTTCTTCCACTATTTTAAAACAAGCCCTGATTCAACCTAGCAAGCCTAATTCCATTTGCACACCCAGGAATACATGTTCATGTCATAAAAGCAAAACATTTTCACACAGCTACAATTCATCAGACTACAAAATTCTTGGTGTCAGCAGTGACACAGAAAGCTTCTCAGTGGCAGAAACAAAAGCAAGTAATGTAGCTATGTGATTTATTTTAAAAAGCAGAGGGGTCACAGAGAATAAGATAAATTCAGAAGGACGGAAAGAAATCTTGTTTTCTTACAGAAGCAAAGAGATGATGGGGAGTGGGGGAATCAACCAGAAGTAACTGATAAATTTGAAACACAAAAGTGATGCAATCAGTTGGCGGAAACAAAATTCAGCCAAAGTGGTTGTTCCATGTGGTGAAACAAGTATTTACAAAACCATCAATCACTCATCATAAAACCTCAATGATACCTTTCAACACGATGTCCTTATATGGATCTAATCCACTCCAGCCAGTCTGGGAATCTTATTATTTCCCTAAATGCACCATACAGTTTGGGTCCTAGACAAAGAACTGGTGGACCAGGTCCAAAGCTGTGGCAGGAGAGCTAAGTCACAGGAGAGGGGGAGTTTGGAGCAGAGCCATGCTTGCTGAATTATAGCAGTCAGCCAAGGGAAGAAAATAACTAGTAATAAAAGCAGATCCCCTGGGGAAAAGCTATTACTAGAAATATTAAGCCAAGGGAATATGCAAAATAGCTAGTGGTAGAATGTTTTAGAAGGCAAATTCAGGACAAGCTTGAAATAAAAAGATTGATGGCTGGACAATGGCAAAGGGTTCATAAAGATAACAGATTTTTTTTAACCATTTGCCTTCTACATCTTTGTACTGCCACGGGTTTCATCTGGTAGAGTTTATCTTCAGGAACCTCTCACTACCTTTATGACTCAATTTAGATGCTCTTTTGTTTAAAAAAAATTGATCTGTGCAATTCCTTTCATATTTTAACTTTTTCCAAAATGACTCAGTATCCTAAACAGTTTTGTCCCAACTGACTAGTAAGACCACCTGGACTTTCCACCTCTGAGTACAATACCATCTTCAATTTACATTCTCACCAGCATTATATAAAAGTTACCACTTTTCTGCTTCCAACACTTAGTCAGGTTCTAATAAAAGTTGAGCCCAATATTGCTGTAGTACAATTTTCTCCAAAATGCAGAAGAGAGAGTTTTGCAAAATCCGTAGATTACCCATAGGTGTATACGTGTTTAACACTTGGTGTTAGCCAATTTTTAATTTTTCAAATATGATGGGTATGAAAATGTGAGGCTGAAAATCCTTTCATGTGTTTATGTCTTTCAGTTTTTACCTTCTGCTCATATCCTCTATCCAGCTTTCTAATGGGTTGTCTCTTACTTACTGATTTGTAGGCTATATTTACAGGTGCTGAATACTAATGTTTAACTTGCTACATTCATTGAAAATATCTTTTCCCAATGTATGGTTTATCTTTTAACTTTGTTTATGGGGTCAATTTAGCAATACTTTTTATTTATTTGGTGTGTTGCTTTTGTCTCCATTTAAGAAATTCTTCCTTATTAGGATATAATTACAGTCTTTCTCTTTTAAGAGTATTTTTTTTACTCTTATTTTAAGTTCAGGAGCACATGTGCAGAATGTGCAGGTTTATTACATAGGTAAACATATGTCATGGGGGTTTGTTGTACAGATTATTTCATCGCCCAAGTATTAAGCCTAGTCTCCTAGTATACATTAGTTTTTTCCTGATCCTCTCCCTCCTCCCATCCTCTGCCCTCAGGTAGGCCCCAGTGTGTGTTGTTCCCCTTCTTTTAAGAGTTTTCAGGTTTTGATTTCATGTTTTTACCTTCAGTCAATCTGGAGTTTACTTGTGTATGTGGTATGGGATAGGATACTGACTTTTTTTTTCATATACAGATAAGCCAATTATCCCAGTGCAAATTAATGAATATCTTACCATTTCCTACTGATTTCTAATGACACCTATGACATTTACCAAGTCCCATATATAGATGAGTCTATTTTGCCTTCTGTAGTGTCATTAACTCTTTCTCCTGACTTTCTTTTTTTTTTTTTTTTTTTTTTTTTGAGACGGAGTCTCGCTCTGTCGCCCAGGCTGGAGTGCAGTGGCGGGATCTCGGCTCACTGCAAGCTCCGCCTCCCGGGTTCACGCCATTCTCCTGCCTCAGCCTCCCGAGTAGCTGGGACTACAGGCGCCCGCCACTACGCCCGGCTAATTTTTTGTATTTTTAGTAGAGACGGGGTTTCACCGTTTTAGCCGGGATGGTCTCGATCTCCTGACCTCGTGATCCGCCCGCCTCGGCCTCCCAAAGTGCTGGGATTACAGGCGTGAGCCACCGCGCCCGGCCTCTCCTGACTTTCAAAGCCCTCTGTATTTAAATCCTGTAGACCTCAGAAGTGTTTTCTATATTACAGTAATAGCACTAAATTCACAGAATCAGAGAATCTTAAAGCTTGAAGGTAATAAATGGATTAAATAATCTGATTATCTAACTTCATAGATAGGAAAACTCAATCCCAGAGAAGCTAAATGAGTGCCCGGGGTCATAAAACCAGGTATTGGTAGTGCCAGTTTTAGAAGCATGTTGACTCGTATCCTCCTGCAGTGCCCTCTCCACAGAACTGGTGCACAGCACATACTAGAATGATTTCCTGTTTGAATTAAATGACAGCATAAAATGGAATCAAATAGGGGAAATATTCTTTGTTGAGTTCCTACCATGTGCAGTACTGTGTTAATTGCTTTGTAACCCCTGAGAGTGACTTGTCTTTGGACTTTGTCTTGTAAATCCGGGGGTTTTTTTGGTTTTGCTTGTTTGTTGGTTTTTTGTTTTTTGTTTTTGTTTTTTTGTTTTTGTTTTTGTTTTTGTTTTTGTTTTTGTTTTTGACAGAATCTAGCTCTGTCTCCCAGGCTGGAGTGCAGTGGCTTGATCTCGGCTCGCAGTAACCTCCACCTCCCGTGTTCAAGTGATTCTCCTGCCTCAGCCTCCTGAGTAACTGGGACTACAGGCACATGCCACCACACCCAGCTAATTTTTGTATTTTTATAGAGATGGGGTTTCACCATGTTGGCCAGGATGGTCTCCATCTCTTGACCCAGTGATCCACCTGCCTCAGCCTCCCAAGTGAATGCTAGTTTATGTGCTCTTTCCTCTGCCTCTGTTCTATGAATGATAATTCTGAGTATACTCTTTGGTTCTATTCAATGCTGAGTCCAATATTGCTGTGGTACAATCTTCTCCACCATGCAGAAGAGTTTTACAAAACATCTAAGTTATCCATTTGTGTGTGTGTTTATGTGGATGTGTGTGTGTAATATTAATGAATACACACATACATATATTGTATACATCAATTTGGAATTTATTTTTGAATATGGTCTTAGGATACTGATTTTTTTGCATATACCTATAAGCCAATTATTCCAGTGCAAATTAACTAACATCTCACCATTTCCCACTGATTTCTAATGACACTTATGACATCTATGAAGTCCCATGTATTATACCTATGTATAATACATGTACATGTATTTTATATATATGTGAACTATAAAAGAGGAATTTCTCCTTAGAAATTCAAACTGAAACTTATACCTACTTTTTTACATTTTATTTACTTATTCCACACATATGTTAACAATCCACAAAGACATAGATTAACATCATAAGTAACCTTCCTGTCCAATAGGATCTTATAGACTAATTGTGGAATTAGGCTCATAAAAATACATTTTTAATTCAATCATATGATCATTAAATAGATAAGAACAACAAAGTTATAGAGAAGCACAAAAAAGTGAGAACTGATCATTCTACCTGGTGGAATCCAGTAAACCCTCATGAGTGAGACCATATGGCCTAAACCAAAAGTGCAGGAGAGCAACAAATATTTGTGCATAGATGTGGATGTCAATATGGAACACTATGACACAGAAATTTAAGAAAATTGAGATTTTATGTTAGTTGGCAATGTGTCAAATTTTTCTAAGATCTCACATTGTGATCAGTATCCCTTCATATGTGTTAAGCTGTCAATTAGTATACGGGCACTGTTCACACTAACAGGATAGAGGGGTTCCTGCTTTCAGAGGTAGGGTACTCACATAATTTATCATTCAAATTAGTAAACTTTGAGACTGCAAAAAGAGTCTGTTAATAATTGCAGAGTGATGGGATTGTCCTAGACTAATTAGATTTATGGCACTATATTCAGATGAAAATAGTATGCAATGTGATCATACAATAGGGTTTCTAACCCTTTTTGAGGTCCTATAGAAAGCTGTACACATTAATTTTCTTCATAGAGTCAGGGCCAGCTCCACAAGCATGCAATCTGTGTAGTTGCACAGGGTCCCTCACTTAAAACGGCCTTGCAGTTAGTTTAATATTTATCTGTTGCTATCTTTAAATATGTGTATTTTTTAAAAAGAGAGATCCACATTTTTATTTTCTACTGGGCCCCACAAATTATATAAAAAATACTTCATAGACAACACAATTTAATCTGATTTGGTTAGAAGACAACTAGAATGCCAGGAGATTCAGGAACTATATGGTATAAGACTGGTTAAAGGACCTGGAAATGGTTAACTGAATAAAAACAAATCTAAAGACCAAGTAAATAACTACCTTAAGATAATGAAAGTTCAGATGGTTCAAAGGAGAAGTGGAATTTTCTGGTGCAGTGCCAGAAGGGGAAACAAGAACAATTCTTGGAAGTTATAGGAAAATTGAAGAAAGGAAGAATTTCACAACAATAAAAAACAGGACATCATATAGGAATCCCCAGTATTCAATGTATTAATGCTGAGGCTTGGTGACGATAAAGTCATAGAGAATAAGTTTTTGCATTCATTAAGAGGAAAAATAATGATACGATCACGGTGGTACAAATGAATGCTAAGATTTTATATTCATTAAATAAATACACTGAAACTCCCTTGTCAAAATTATCTGTATCTCAGAGCTCTAGGAAGTGAAGCAGAGAACATAAAAAAAATCTACTTTCAGCTATCTTTATATAATTTTTGAGCAAAGTAAGTGAAAAGAAATTATAGAAGACTGATAGACTGCTTGCTTAAATTTTCTAAATAATGAGCCCACAAATCATTCTGACCTTAGGTGTGGTTATGATCCTTAAATACATGACTTTAAAATTAGCAAATGATAACAATGATTAATGCATTTATTCAGCAAGTGAGGTCCGCCGTTTTTGCTTAAGCTTCACAAAGAACTTGTGAGTTAAGACTGTGTGTACTATTTTATAGAAGAAGAAACCAAAGTTCAAAGAGTTGAATTTTTAATCACATAGCTAGTTAACAGAAAATCAGTTAATTGGTTTATTTATTCATTCATGAGCTCAATAAATATATTGAGTACTTAATATGTTCAGGCTGTGCTGTGTGTTCAGAATACAAATTTGAGAAAGACAGAATAGAGTTTATACTGTGTCTTAGTCCATACAGGCTGTTATAACAAAACACCTTAGACTGTGTGACTTATAAACAATAAACATTTATTTCTCAGTTCTGGAGGCTGAAAGTCCGATATCAAGGTGCTAGCATGGTTGGGTTCTGGTGAGGGCTCTCTTCCAGGTTGCAGACTGCTGAGTTTCTGCTGTGTCTTCAAATGGCAGAAGCAACTAGCTAGCTCTCTGGGTCTCTTTTATAAGGACACTCATTTCTTTCATAAGGGTTCTAATCTTATGACCTAATCACCTCCCAAAGGACCCACCTTTGGTATTAGGAAGGTATTAGGAAATACCTTCATCCTGGGGTTAGGAGTTTAACACATAAGTTTTGGAAGGACATAAACATTCATTCAGTTCATTGCATTCCACCCCTGACCCCTCACATTCATGTCCTTCTCATATGTAAAACACGTCATTCCATCCCAGTAGCTCCAAGGCCTTAACTTTTTCTGGCATCAAATCAAAAGTCTAAACTCCAGAGTCTACTCTAAATATTAACTAAATCAGATATGGGTGACACTCACGTAGAATTTGTCATGAGGCAAATTGCTCTCCAGCTGTGAAATCAAATGTGTTACATGCTTCCAAAATACAATGGTGGGACAGGCATGGGTTAGACATTTCCATTACAAAAGAAAAAAAATAGGAAAGGAGAAAGGGGTAACAGATCCCTAAGTCCAAAACTCAACAGGGCAAAAAACATTAAAGCTGGAGAATGATTTTCTTTAACTGTATGTTCTGCCTTCCATACACGCTGGTGTGAGAGTTGGGTGCCCAAGGCTCCAGGTGCCCCAGTCCCTAGGCTTTGCTGGGAATAGCCCATGCCATAGCTCTCCTAGCTAAAGTTTCACACTGGTGGCTTCACCAGGCATTTCCTTGGTAGGGATTCTCTGAAATGACATCTCTCTCAGGGCCTGTGTCTTAAGACTCTTCATGGTTTCATCCCTCAAAATCTAGGACTATGTAGCTAGGCCACCATGGCTGGTTCACTCTGTACTCTAGCACAGAGAACACTCTGCTGGGTTGCTGCTTAAGGGTTATTCCCTGTGCCTTCTGGAGGGGTGGGTACTGTGGTACTCTGAAATCATTTTGCCCCTCAAGTCCTAGTATTCTGGGCCTGTGATTGGAGAAACAGCTGCAGTGATCTTAGAAATGCCTTCAGGGTTGTTCTTTCATTGTCTTGATGAATAGCACCTGGCTTCTTTGAAACTGCTGATCCACGCTAATTTTCTTATCAAATGGTATCTTGGCCATACCATTGTTCTATCCTAAACAGGTCTTTTGATTTGTTTTCAATAGAATTAGGCTGAGCATTTTCCGAATTTTTAAGTTCTGCTTTCCTTTTGATTAACAATCCATCTTTAAGTCATTTCTCTCTTCTCTAACCTTACTATAAGAACTTAGAAGAAGCCAAGCCATGCCTCAACACTTTGCTGAGAAATTTCCCCAGGCAAATATCCAATTTTATCTCTCACAATTTTGATATTAAAAAAAAACTGGAACATGAACACAATTCAGCAAAATTCAACCTGATAACAGACACAGAAACAGAAAGGGGACCTCTAAAAGAAAATGATATTTATTTTGGGAATGGACATTGCAATGGGAATGTACATGCCATAGTGAACTATGCATATTCAGGAAAATAAGAGAAGACAGGGGTTTTTTAAAGGAAAAATTAGGAGGATTGCCAAATTGTTTTCAGATACTTACGTTTGGCTACAAGAATCAGTAACAAAGATGATGCTGGTTTGAGGTCGGACAAGCATTTGCTGGACAGATGCCCTCTCAGAAATTTTATTTTGTGTAAAGTTGAGATGGCTGTTGTGAAAGGTTGGAGTTTTTGAGTCTTTTATGATCGTTCTTGTTATCAGGTATTCATGTCTGAGAACCCTCCCTTTATAGCTTTTTTAGGCTCCATTTGTCAGGGTTTTTAACACGAGTGACCCCATTTTGAGTCTGCTAACTGTCACAACTGTAAGCACTCAAGAGAAGCCAAGCCACACCTTCAACGCTTTGCTTAGAGATTCTCCAGCCAAATATCCAATTTTATTGCTCACAAATTCTATCTTTCACAAAACACTAGAACCAAGCAGAATTCAGCCAAGTTATTTACTATCACTTTATAAGAAACACAGTCTTTCCTTCATGGCCCAATAATATGTTCCTCATTTCCATCTGAGAACTCATCAGAATGGCTTTTCTGTCTGTATTTCCAAAGCTTCTTTCACATTTTTAGATATGTGTTACAGCAGTACCTCCATTTCTCTGTACCATTTTTCTATCCTAATCAATTAGGGCTGCTATTAATAATAAAATACTATAAACTGGATGACTTATAAACAACAACTATTTGTTTCTCATAGTTCTGGAGGCTAAGAAGTATAAGATCAAGGTAATTTTGGTGCCTGGCAAATGCCTATTTCCTCATAGATGGTCATCTTCTCATTGAAGCCTCACGTGAAATGACTAGCTAGCTCTCTGAGACTTTTTTATACAGGCATTAATACCATTCATGAAAGCTCCACCCACATGAACTAATCACGGTTCAAAGTCCACACCTCCTAATACCATCTCCATGGGGTTTAGGTTATTAACAAATAAATGTTGAAGGGACCCGAATCTTACGTCCACTGTACACTGTAACAGACCAAGAGTTTATAGCAAACTGTTTGCTTTAATGCATTCCAAAGAAAACTCTCAGCCAACTTTTCTCTTTGGCAAGCAATTCTTATTTTGAGTAATTTATCTGCACGGATCATATTTATTTAGCCTTTATTTTGCCTGGTACTGTGATATCAGGAAGTAAAGAAGGCATGTTTCTTGTCTTTTGAGAGGTATAGGAAGAATATATATATATATATATATTTACATATATATATATATATATATATTTACATATATATATATATATATATATATATATGCAACTGACCATAAATACCAAGCAGAATAAAATAAGTGGTAGGCATATTTCTTACATTGTATGTAAGAAATATTCTAGATTTAATATTGGAAATATTGTAATGTGAAGGAGGAGAAGAAATGGGAGAGTTGATCATGACTGGGTTATCAGGAAAGGCTTTGTGGAGAAGGTGAGCTGAGAACCCTGATATATGGATAAAAGCTCAAAATTATGAAGACAAACTCCAGAAGAAGACATGTTATGATGTATAAACCTACACAATCACAGCAGTCAACCAAGTAACTAGCAAATATCTAACAATAAGTGATTATTAAATTAATATAAAAATTAATTTATTGGTGTGTATTTAACATTGAACAAGAAGAAGGATCAAAGTCACAAGGTTATGAATGTTCATGTGGTATTTGGGTAGTGAGTAGTCTGAAGAGTCTGAATGATGAGTTATTTGGCAAGGTTTATGGACAGGTACTTATGGAAGAAAGAGGAAATGATACTCATAAAAAGCAAGTAGGAATCAAATTGTGGAAAGCCTTGGCTGTTTAATTGAAACTTGAAGTTAATCCATCAGGAAAAGGCAAGCCTGTGACTTTTAGCACCTAGCATCTATCACAGTGTGTTAAACAATAGTAAACAATAAGTGTTTGCCGAGTGAATAAATAAAAATGTGAAATAACAAATGAGTAAGAGAGTAACACTCATCAGTTTATTCAACAAATATTTGTTGAGCACTGCTCTGTACTAAGCACTGTGCTACAAAAGCAAGAAAGAAATTATCTTTGTCCTCATACACCTCCCTGGCTGCTGTGGCATACACACGTCAGTGAGCAATGATAATGGTATATGAGATGAGCACTAGAGAGGTGAAAACGAACGTTCTTTGGAGCAGTTCAGAAAGATTTTCTAACCTAGTTTATGTGAATTTTCAGGTTTATTTTATTCTTATTTTTTCAGGGAAAAGTGGTTAGTGAAGGACAAATAACATAAGAAAATGACCTCTACGTTAAGGCATAAAATATGAGCAAGAGTTACGAAGAAGAAAGAACAAAGTGTGCAAAGATTTAAAAGATAGAAACGTTAAGTAAACCATTCAAAGAAAGCCACAGGAAGAGCTATCCTGGAGACATAGAAAAGAAAGAGACAAAAGATAAACTTATAAAACTGAGAAGCTAAATGCCAGGAGGTCAGTGAGGTAACTAACACAGTAGTTCATGGGAGAAGTGACTAAGGCAGTGGCAATGGGAATGGAAGAGGGGGACGTCTATTTAACTGTCATGTACTCAATGTTCAATAAATACTACATGGCAACAAAATCTGGGGACTGATTGCTTATGTAGAATAAAGTAGAAAAGTCAGGCAAAATTGACCCTGAGGTTTAAAGTTTGTGGCATTAAATTGATTTTTACTATGTAATTTTACATTGGAAATACAGTCATTATATCAATCAGTGTTCTCCAGAGAGATAGAGCCAACAGGACATATGTATAGATATGTAGAGAGGGAGATTTATTATTATTATTTTATTTTATTATTGAAAATTTGGCTTACATGATTATGGAGGCTGAGAAGTTCTAAGATCTGCTGTCTCCAAGCCAGAGACCCAGAAAAGCTGATAGCATAGCTTCAGTCTAACCCTAAAGGCCTGAGAACCATGGTAACCAAAGATAAAATCCAGTTCAATTCCAAAGGTCCAAGAACGAGCAGGACTCATGTCCAAGGGCAGGAGAAGATGGAAGGCCCAGATTAAGTTGAGAGTGAATTCACCCTTCTTCTACCTCTTTGTTCATTCAAGCCCTCAGTGGATTGGATGAGGCCCACCCACACTGGTGAGGATGATCTTTTCTCCTCAGTCTACTGATTCAAATGCTCATATGTTTAGAAAACACCCTCACACACACACAATGTTTTACCAAGTATCTGGCCATCCTGTAGGCCAGTCAACTTGACTCATAAAATTAACCATCACAGACATTGAGGAGATTTTGAGGCTAAGTTAGTAAATTAGTAAATTTAATTCTGTGTATTTTATATACATTTAAGAAGTTGATGAGGTTCAGGGCACACTGCCCCAAAATATGGCACCTTGGCAATTGAGAAAACGGCAGCAGAAAGCTGCTCTCTCTTCCCCCTCGCCTTTCTCCCCTGAAGTAGATCATAAAAATCTTCACTCCAGAGGTACCCTCTCTATAGTTGGCACTAAGGAGCATTCTTATCCTCCAAGACACAGACACATCAAAAAGAACAAACAGAACTTGCTAAATTTCCCTCAGTTTATTACCAATAGATCAGTCCCCATTTGCTCAATCATACCTCTGTACCACTGTCTACTCTTCATCAAACCTAAGAAGAAACCTAAGAATAAGAATACATGTTTCCCTGTTTTTGGGGGTCTTCATTTCTAAAGAACCTCTGTCATGGTCATGTAAAATTTACGTGAAAATATTTGTATGCTCTTCTTTTGTTAATCTTTTGTTATAGGGGCCACAACGATGAACCTTGCAATGGGTGAGGAAAAGAAATTAATTTTTTCCCTTACAAAATCTACCTACCATCTCTTTGGTATTACCTAACAGAGTGTGAAATATTGTATTTAGAGCTCAAATATCATATTGGTAAAGGGCAGTCCTCAGGAAAATCCTCTTCCTCACACAACCTTGTAGCAATTTTTCCTTTCCGTGGAAAGCAAATGGGATTAACAAATGGTATTTTCTATTGTTCTTAAGCAAGAGATTGTCAATATGGGATTAACCTTTCCAAAAAGGTAGGCTGCTTCTCTACTTTAAGAGATTATACAACACCTGAAAATCTCCTACTCAAAGGCTTTTAACTTTTGTTTAATCTTTTAATGTACATGCCTAAATAAATAACTTGCAGGAAAATATGTTCCTTTGAATATTGAATAAAGCAAAACAAAATTATGCTTGGATATTTCTTAATTTCTGCATAAGGAGGATAATGATAAGAATCAGAATGATCTCTTCTCCCTTGATGAAAGTGTTGCCCATAGAAGCTTGTCCTTAGGCTGCTACCAAAGATCCTTCCATGTCCACTCTTTTCCCTAAGCGAGCCCTTATTTCTTAGAACATTGAAAAATCCCATCTTTGACAAAGATCCAAATGCAGTATTGCTTGGCATTTACTTAATAGGGAATTAAAGGAAAGTGAAATCCCTTCACTGGAGTTTGTGTATTGATGTTCCAAAATATCTATCTCACTGCAACCAGAGAAATCAAAGTATAGTTTAGCCCAGAGAGCAAGGCATCCATCATTTTGGAAGATCTTGGAATATTTAGAAAGACAGTTATAGCATTTGAGCCCATGAGAAAGAGTAAGAGAGTAGAGACAGAGAGGGGAGGGAGAGAGGAACAGAGAGAAAGAAAAGGAGAGAGGTGTGAAGAAAGGGGAAGAAAGGAGAGGGGAGAGAAAATACAAAATAGTTGAGGCCAAAACTCAGAGGAAAATATCTCTAGAGAGGCCTAGTGAAGACAGAAACTTTTAGAGGAGAAGGCTGAGATGAATAATTTAAACTGAATATTTTGAAGAAACAAAATTTTAGGAGAGAGGAAAAGTGAAACCAATTTAATGGAAGTTGTTAAGAAATGGTTGAAAGGGTAAAGACAGAGGCGAGACTATTGGATCTGACCACGAGGAGCTCTTTGGTAATTCTGATAGAGCCATTTTCACAAAACATTTCTACTAGACACAAGGGAAGAGAAATGGATATTGTAGAGATCATATTTATGATGGCAGTGATAAATGTGAAATGAGATAGGGAGTGTGTGAAGGTGAAATGTTTTTGGATTTTAAGAGAAGTCATATTTCTACAGCATTGTGGCCTATTACCCTGAGCTCAATTTCTTAGTCTTAATAGCTGTAGTAAGGTCTAGTGGGATGACAAAATCAGCCTCCTGTGGAGAGTCCATTTCTCACTAAGTCCATCCTTCAATATTTTGAGCAAACAACAGAAATTAAATACACAAGGTCGGTGCATTTCAGTCATTCAGGTTAATCTTTTTAATTCAGATATATTAGCCAGATAGATGACACTTATGTTTCATTACTTTTCAAGTCCAGTTAATCCTTAATCCTAATTATGCCTGACCTGATCCAAAGTGAACAGAAATTCATTTTCAATGAAGTAAACAGGAACTATAGAGCTTTTGTTATTTGTTAGAACAAGCCTTATTAAATAGCAAGCATCTGCTCTCCACTCCAGTTATTGTTCATAGGTTTTAAGAGTCTAGGTTAAGTAGAGTTGTCAGATTTCACTTTGTTGGGTAATGAAGTCAGAAACATGAATTAATCACAGCTCGAATTTGTGTTATATATTGCAGTTTGCTAGCACATTTATTACTTTATTTGATTCTGATAATGCTGGGAAGTAAGTAGGTTTGACTCCTTACCTATATAATGGGAATAAAAATTATGCTTTCATTATAGGGATGATGTGAAGATTAAATAAGTTAATAAATTCAAGGTGCTTAAAACTGTACCAGGCACATAGCAAATGTTCAATAAATGGGAGCTGCTTTGGTTGATACTATTATTATGATTATTAAGGTCAGTGTACTTTGTATAGTCTGTATCTCACTGAAAGAAGAGGGAGAGAAAACAGGATGATCAGAGGGACAGGGAAGGCAGAACAAATGGAAAGAAAAAGGATGGATTAATACCGGGCATATAGATGAGAGAATCCGAACCTTGCTGATTTGAAGAGGCTCTTTGGGTTAATGCCACGTCATTAAGAAAAGTGGATTGAAGCTGATATATTAAACTGGTATTGATTAGCTTTGTAAATGTCCATTCTCTTGCAGTCAGTAATGGGAGATCATTTAGATAAGAAGAAAGTGTGAAGACACAGGGCATTCTAGGGATTAAATTAAAGGACTGAGAACCACTGACCATCTGTATGACCCTGTGTGCTTGAAATTAATCTGTCAGGGCCTGAGCTACCTTCTCTACAGCATGGACTTAAATAACAGTTTCTTATGTTTATATTGCCGTGAGGCTATTAAAGACAGAAAGGCATTTGGGGTCCTTCACATAGGCTGAATCCAATAATAAAGAATGTCAACAAATTGCACCCTCAGTTTTTTACTCATTATTTGCTTTGTTCTATCTAGCCTGAGTTCAAACCTTCATTATGCCTCACCTGAACAATTTCATGACTTAATACTCTTCAGTTCTTCCTCCCCCCAATCCATCTGCAATAGTATCTACCAAACATATATATGATCAACTTAATCCCACTGCCCAACAAATAATCAAGTCAAACTGCAGCCTGGATTTCACAACATGAGACTAGAATTTTTATATTAAAGCTTAGTCATTAGGTCCTTGGTTCTACACTTATACAGACTAATTTCCTATTGCTGTTCCACCATCATTAGCTGTGTGACTTGGCCTTTCCTGATTTCTATTTTTATTTATTAAAAAAAAACTTTACTGCTTATTATGTATCAAACACTTTACAAATATTACCTGTTTAATCTTCTAACTTGCCCTATACAGTAAGATCAAGTCCATTTTACAAATGAGAAAACTGAGGCACGGGGCGATTGCTTACTACACTAAAGTCACACAACTTATAAGTTATAGATGTGAGATTTAAACACTGGTGGTCTAACTCCAAGTCTGCATTCTACTTGTATATTGTGCTGCTGTCTTATACTCTACCACCAATCACTTCAGACTTCTGTTTATTTTGATAATATAGCAAGTATTTTTATACTACTGAACAAAAGATGATACGCTTTTTAAAGACAAGAGCACATTGTTGTTCTTAAAATCCCCTGTAACTAGAACAGTGCTTAGCAGGAAGTAGACCATACATGAATAAATTAATCAATCCATCAATCTGTCAGCCAGAGTCCCCTGATGCAATTTTCCTTCCATTAGTAATACAGGATCCCAGGTACTGTCTTTGATCCTAGAGTAGAATAAAGTTCCCAGAAGACCCAGAGTTTAGATTTAGAAACCTCAGATTTAAGTTCCAGTTCTGCTGCTTCCAAACTCTGTGGCCTTGGCCATGTCAATTAACCTCTCTGTGTTTTTTTTTCTTCAACCTCAGAGAAAGGACATTAATACACACACACACACACACACACACACACACACACACACATCACAACTATTGCAAGGATCAAATAAGAGAAGCTATATGAAAGTACCTAGAAAAGTTCTATAAACAACTGTGTGAATTTGTTAATAATAGGAAAGTAATGATTCCCCGTTGTAGTCCTCAGAAAGGGAATAGGCTAAAAGACTGATTTAGGAGTGTTACTAACTACAAAAGTCATCTATAGTAGCTGGAACAAATTGACTTGAAAACTAGGCAGTGCTGCTGATAGTTCATATTTGAGAACAAGTGCAGTTTTTATGAACTGCTATGAGCTGTATCAAGGTCTTTTAGCTTTCTGGAACCCTCATTTTCAGAGTAAGTAATCCATCAATATACTTGGCCCTATTCTCTTCCTCCAAGTTGCCCTCATTGTCACCTTCATGACAGGACGTGGACATCACTGTTCTTTACATGGAAACTCCACCAAGCGCTCTGCATCCACTCAGGTAGTTGTCCACACCCATCCCACTTCTGTTTCTATGATGTTCCTGGATACAGATTTAGATTTTGTAAAATGTTTTCATGTTTTTTTACATACTTATAGCCTTGTCCTTTGAATTTGATTCCCTAACTTGATGATTTTTAACAAAAAATCTGGTTCATAATCATAATAATGCTGCCTCATGGCACTCTTGGAGAAACACTGACCTTAACCCTCCCTCCCAGTTTCAACTCAGCTCCGAGATCATGCAGGCTTATGGCAGCCCCCAGATCAGGCACCCAACTGTTGAAAGGAAAACCTTAGACAAATTAAACTTAACAGAGTTTAATTGAGCCAAGAATTACTGGCAAATCCTGCAAGACCCAAATCAGAATAGGTCCAGTGAGGTTCCAGCATGGTTCCACATGGTTCCACATGGTTCCAGTAAGGTTCCACATGGTGGAAGAACATTTAAAGATAGAAAAAGGAAAGTGAGATATAAAAAATGAAATGAGGTATAGAAACAGCCAGATTGGTTACAGGCCAGTGGTCTTTGCCTTGTCTGAACATGATTTGAACAGTTGGCTGCCTTTGACTGGCCAGACTTCGTGACTGGCACAAGAGTAGGTTACAGTCTATTTCCATATCCAGTTAGGTTATGGTTCATTCTGTATGGAGAAATTTTTAGGCCAAACTTAGAATATGTAAGGAGGCAGATTTAGGCTAGAATTCATTTAACACAACTCATCACATTCTTGGTAAAACTGTACTTCTGAGTATATGTGCTTTGTTATTGCCGACGAGAGAGCTGAATGCTAAGCTTGGTAGTACATGTGGTATTCTCTATCTATTTCGGAAAAGTCATGCACCTATGTGAGAACCTAAACATCATGTAATAAAATTTACTTACTTAGAAATCTTGCATTGATTCATGTTTCTACCCAACAAGAGTTTTAAAATAAAAGAAGGGCTACTTGGGAAGCTGAAGTGGGAAGATTGCTTGAGCCCAGGAGTTTGAGATCCAGCCTGAGTAACATAGCAAGACCCAGTCTTTGTCTAAAAAACAAACAACTTAATTAATTAATTAATTTAAAATTAAATTAAATTAGATTAAAAAGACCATTAAAGCCAAAGCAGCACATGTGGCAGATGCTTTGCAAATACAGTGTTCTCAAACCAGAGTTTATTAAAGCCCATTGTCTTCCTTTGGCATCAATTGCTAGTATACTTCACTAATGTGAAGCTCCTTGCAGAAGAACTTCACAAATTCTTGATACAACTCAATTCCCTGTCTCTGCCATCTGGGTATAGGTTGACAGAGAAGTAAAAAAGGCAAGCTAATCAGATAGAGCCATTAAGATCCCCACCGGGCATGATCACAAATGAAATGATTTCACCTCTGCTGCCTTCTTGGCTAATTGACTGGTACTTTTTAAAGTCATCCTAATTCAAATTCAGTTCCTGAGCCCTCATTTCTTAAGTTGTTCTAATTTGTACCAAAATGAGCCAAAAGAGGTTTCATCAAAGTTCAATTTTCAGACTCAAAGAGGATGAGCCTTAACAAAGAGATAGTTTAAGTAAGCCTTAACTACTCTCAACCAATCAAAGAAAGAAGAGTGAAACTTTGGGCAATTTTAAAATAAATATATTTTGGAGAGTATAATATCTTATTGCCTGTTGAAGATTTTTGCTCTCATAAATAAATCAGATGCATCTGGGAGCATCAATCTGAATACAGTCCTTACGGTTAGCAGATTAAAAATTTCCCCTTTCAATCTTCTTAACCCAATATAATTTAAAAGAAGCTATGAAAATATAGATAAAACAAAAGAAATTCTCAGTATTTCAAATCTCAAATTCTAAAAATGCACAAACTCAGTTTTCTTTTTACCAGAAGTAAAAAGTCCTGGGTTCTCTTCTCAGCTCCAAACGTTGTTTCCACATCAAATTGTTTATTCAAAAACAATGATTTAGTGTCAACTCTGTGCTGTTCAGTGTTTCAGACCCTAGGGATACAGTGGTAAGAAAAATTGCACACTGCATTATGCATCTTAGTTTGTAGTTATAAGAGAGAGAAGTTTTTTTTAAGTAATCATATAAATACACAGGCATCCCTGAGAATTGATTCCAGCACCCTGGCATATACCAAAATCTGTGGACACTCAAGTTCCATAGTCAGCCTTGCAGAACCACGTAAATAAGAAAAGTCAGCCCTCCAAATATGAAATTTCATATCTCACGAATTATCTATTTTCATTCCAAATTTGGCTGAAAAAAATCTGTATATAAGTGAACACAGGCAGTTCAAGCCCATGTTGTTTAAGCATCAACTGTATATAATTTCACACAGTGGTTAATTATATATTTTAAAAATAACTCTGTAAAGAAATAAAATGTGAAGTGGTATAGGGAAATATGTGAAACCAGGAATTCTACTTAATATATGGTGATTAAGGAATCCCTTTGTGTAGCTAACATTTGAGCTGAGCCTTGATAGGATGATTACTCACATTCTACAAACCTCACACTTCTTCGCTAAAAAATGAAAATAATATAATATATATACCATGTAAGGTTGTTAAAGGTATTAAGATCTTGCATTGGCCAGGCGCGGTGGCTCACGCCTGTAATCCCAGCACTTTGGGAGGCAGAGGCAGGCGGATCACGAAGTCAGGAGATTGAGACCATCCTGGCTAACACGGTGAAACCCTGTCTCTACTAAAAATACAAAAAAAAAAAAAAAAAAAATTAGCCAAGTGTGGTGGCGGGTGCCTGTAGTCCCAGCTACTCAGAAGGCTGAAGCAGGAGAATGGCGTGAACTCGGGAGGCAGAGCTTGCAGTGAGCAGAGATCATGCCACTGCACTCCAGCCTGGGCAACAGTGCGAGACTCTGTCTCAAAAAAAAAAAGATCTTGCATTGGAGGTTCTTACCAATCAAATGATATTGTATTTTAAATACTCAATGAATGATATTAATGTTATTGTGTTAGCTATTACAGTGATGACAAGATTGGCTATATTTGAATAATCAAACAAGTAGCAAATGTTCTGCAGTGTGGATGAAATCAGGTGGCATCATTGTTGAAAATATGTAGTTAATTAAGAAACTAACTAGGTAGAGTGATTACAACATAGCAATAAAACTAAAAATATCAAAGCCATATTATGGCCTATCACAGTTCTATTACCACTCATTATCATATTAGATCAAAAATAATTCATCTTATTTATGTAATACCTTTTATCTGTGCATTTTAGCATGCCTGGATCATATCCGATTGAGTTAGGGAAGTCATTCCTATTGATGTTTGGTAGTAATAAGTTTTGACAGTTATAATACCACAAAGTTGAATCAATTTTACAGGTGAGCTTGAGTCTTGTATATTATACAGGACATGATTTTCCATCCCTGTAGAACTTCAAAAGCGGCAAGATGGTGTAGAATGTACATTTGTTTGAGAATCACAGATCCAGGTAACAATTATTCACTTGTCACTCACTAGTTGTACCTAACATCCTGAGACTTAGTTTCCTATGTGTAAAACAGAAGACAGTAACTCCTAATCACAGGATACTTTTGATGTTTAAGTGATATACAAAAAATCAACTAGCACAATGTTGGTGAGAGTCATGAGAGAGCAAATATAGTCCCTCTCTCATAGAATTTACTCTCATGAGGAAAAGAGACACAAATAAATATGATTAGGATTGGGCAAAATACTATTAAAAATAAAACAATAAAAAAATATGAAATAGCATGAAAATATCGTGAAGAATATTAAGGGCTATTTTTTGTAGTTGTTCCCATTTGGAAATAAACTTGAAGGGAGTGGAGATCATATTTTCTTCAGTTGCTTGGTAGAGAGACTAATACAACAAAAATGTCACACTTAAAAAATTTATTTGATAAAGGTGATTGATTATTGCAATTTCGAAGTAAAAGTAGGTGAGGTACTCTGGTTAATGCTACAGGAAAATAACAAGCTAAATAACAGACAGTGTCTCATACATCAATGAGTCTGAAATCCAGAGTGGTGTGAAAAGGTAGGAATACCTTTGGGCGTAGGAAAATAGTCCTCCTTTGTCTGGAAAGATCATCTTCTGAAACAGCTCCTGGAGGAAAGAACAAAGACAAGGAGATGCAAAGGAGAAAGAAAACCTGTCTTGCCAGCAAATCACCCCAATTAGCTCCATCAACCAAAAAGTTGATTATCTTTGTCAGAACCACATCCTTCCCAGTGGCCATGAAAACAATGCAGAATGCTACAACTGACATAAAAGAGAAACAAATCAGTTGGCTCTGTCCCATATGAGATAAAATAAACAAACAAAAAGAAATCTCTGGTGATCCTCCAGATTTGGGGATTCCAGAAGTTTGTTTCCATTGAAAATAACTTTGAAAGTACTCCAATTTAACTGATAAATTTAGACAAAATAAATTGTAAAAAGAATAATTAATTGCGAGGCCATTAAGCTGAGTGACTTTTCCTGCCTAAGCAAATTGAATTATCATAACCTTAGAAAAACAGAATATTAACCAATCAGAAACTACCAACTAAATTCTAACTAGAAACTTTGCCAGTCAGAAACTATTAAGTTACCTCTAACTATGGACTCTCCACTTGAACCAATAATTATTTTCTCTGTCTTGCTTCTGGGAATACCTTATAAAAGTTTTCCACTTGTGCCTCTTCATGGAGCCCTGAACTGCTAGTGGTCTGGTGCTCCCCAATTCATGAGAGGCCGTTTGCTCAAATAAACACTTCAAAATTTTGATGTACCTAAGTTCTCCTTTTAAAAAATTAACTTTATAATTGCCAAGTAAGTCTTAGGAGGGAAGTTCTCTACTGTTAGTTACTTCACCTTGTCATTTTTTCCTTGGATATCCACTCATTTAAAGAACAAAAGTTGTGAGCCACCCAAGCCAAAAGAAAGATACTGGTCTCTTTCGTGTAAGATAAATACAAAGATTTGGCTTATGTTGCTTCAGAAAATGTGTGCCAAAGAGTAAAAGAGGCCATAGGGCTCCAGCACACTGTATATTTTTCTTACACAGAATAGAAACTTAAAGATCATTATTGAATACTTGTCCCTATTTTACAAGACTATTTGTTAAAAGGGCATGTTTACATACTCTCTGGCAGCTCATTAATTATCCTGCCACTTCAGTTGTGGAATGTGGAAACCAAAAAAAAAAGAAAAGAAAAGAAAAGAATCTAGAAATGGGAATTTCATTTTTTTCCCTTTAAACAGTACAATTTTTATATATACATGTGCAGTGTATTTCCTTCAAGCAGATTTACTAGCTTCTGCCACTCACTTAACTTCTCTTGTTTCTTAGGAAAATGCAAACTCCTTGTCTTACTGAGAGCAGTAGGCTCCTTGCAACAGAGAGTATTAAAAAATTTGGCAAATACAAACCCCAGAAAGAGAAAAACAATTAATGAATATGCCAAATGCTTCATCAGCACTCCATTCTTATTCTTAAGATAAACAGCTATGAAAAAGTACTAATCCATTGTATTATTTTAATAAAATGTAGAATTGGGCAGATATGTGAAACAGGAGTTCTGAAATTCTTTTGAATAATAATTCTATTCAAATATTAAATGTCATATTTGTTGAGGATGAATGAGATAGGGAGCAGTGGAGTGACTTAGTCAAGTTCACACATTAAGTCAAGGGCAGAGAAATCAGATATGCTGATTACCAGTAGCATGCCCTGTTCCCATGAATGTGCTGAGTGCAGTTATGGACTCTTTACCAGACACATCAATTTAAGGGAAAACACTGAAGCTGCTAGCAATAATAATAACAACATTTTCTTTTAAAGGCTAAAGGAAAGCACCCAGCCACAGAAAATTGCTCTTTGAATCTTAAAGGTACTTAACGTATATAAATATGTTAAAGAACATAAGGTGGGTGGGATAACATCAGCAGTATCTGCCACTCCACTTCCAGTTTGTAGCATAGAGGAGAGAGGCCTTCTATTGTCATCTTTGTGCTCCCCTACCACATCCATTGGCAGAGGAATGCTGTCAACCCAGCATGTCTCTGGATATCATGAATACCAGAGTCAGTTACATTTTGACAATGGTGGGTGACTACCCTTGAACTTTAAAGATATCTAGAGATATCTTTTTCTTCAAGAAACTTGAAGATGTTTCTGAAATAAATATTTAGGCTCTAAATTATAGATTGCAAAGGCTATAAAATCATAGCAAAAGTATCAAAAGAATCAGCTTCCCTCCAGATCACAGCATGATGAGATTTGAAAACACGATATTTCAAAGGAGCCATGTTCTCTGGTTTGATGTAACTTATATGAAGTGCTAGCAGCCCCATATTTTTAACCACACCAATAAAAGTATAGCGTTATTAATTATTATAATAGGCTAATAATTTGGAAGAACGGAAAAATAATGTCTACTATTTTTCCATTTCTAGGCCTTTCTTGTTAAGAGGATTTTTCCTGTTAAATACAGATTTAAGTGTCTTAGAAAGCTGCAGTTGGAAATGTGGAAGATCTTTGTTGTGGAGGCAGTGCAACACAGTGGTTGAGGGCCAGCTTTGTAGGCAGTCAACCTGAGTTGTACTCTCAACTTCACTGATTACTAGCTCTGTATGATGTCATAATTACTTATTCTCTGTGTCGGATGTAACTTATTTGCTTGGTACTCATAGTACCACCTTCTAGTATGCCTTTCTTTATAGAGTTTATAAGGCTGAGAATTATAATACATTTCACAGATGTTCTTGCAGTCAGCCTTCTGGAGGCAAATTAGGTTCACCAATTAGGTGCACTTAGTCAAGTGCTTGAAAGGTGGAGGGGAGATTATGTAGACCACATTCTCATCGCACTTAGCTTTTTTTCTGGCTAAAAATACCATCGAAATGAGGGCTTTTTCTGCAGCAGTGCATTAGTGTCTAGCTTTGTAAATATCGAGAGAGAATTGTGATGTTTTCAAGAGCTCCCTGATCTTGTATTCCAGTTCTAAACTGTGCAGCTCCAGCTGTATGTTCTCAGATTGAGTAACTCAGCAGGGACCTCCTGATCCTCCACCTTTTTCACTGTAGATTAGGTCTGCCTGTTATCTTCTTTGGGTGGTGTTCCTAGGCTCCCCACCGAGAGTCCACTCCTTCCACTCTTCAGTGATTTTTTGGAAGTACCTTAGTCTATGTGTTAAATCCATTTCTGCATAAACTGCCTGGAATAGTTTGTTTCTTGGACTAAAACCTGACTGTTAAAGTTCTCCTTCAGCAGGAGCTTCCTCATTTGTAAACTGGTGCAAATTGGGTGCTTGTTAAAGTAAGGGTATTGTGAAAATTCATTCAGATGGCTGTGTGAAACGTTGGACCCAATACCAGTCATACAGTAAGCAACCAGTATACATTAGGTATTATTATTTTAGATGTCAATTTAATGCTGCACTGCCCACTGATGTAGTCTTTCTAAATTTTGCGCACTTATTCAGTAACAGTAATAGGAACAATTAAGAAAGAGAAATTGAATAGGAACAATTGAGATAGTTATACGTATTTTTAGGGTTCATGTGATATTCTGATACATAATGATGAAATCAGGGTAACTGGGACATCCATCACTTCAAACATTTACCTGTAAGATCTCTTGACTGTATGAATAACAAGGTTATAAAACAGGCATATTCCATAAAGATAGATATGGGTAAGATAATTATCTGGAAAGAGAGGCTTCAAGACAAAAGAGGAAATCTGTCTCTGGCCAGCAAAGAAAATAATAGTAGGATGATATAGGAATAAGGAAGCAACTGAGAGTGAACGGGATGGAGAAATCTTTTAGGCCAACTCTGTCACATTAAAACAATTAACTGTGGAAATTTAATAGAAATGAGCTCGTACTGGTTTTACAAACCAGAATGTAAAACTTTTAACACTAGATAGCCAAATGTCGTTGGGTAAAGCATTTCTTTTTCTGTCTCCAGTACCTGAAATGCCTGCTGCCTTCTTCACTGCCCCTTAACCAAGAATCATTTTATTGATATTTTATCTCTGACATAAAAGAAATGCAGTATATTCAGGGGTTTAATTTTAAAAGCTATCGGAAGTAAGGATTATAAGAGTATTTATAACACAGTCCTTAATCATTTTGCCATCTTTTAGATATGCTTTAAATTAGGCAGTTGCTCCCCCACCTTTGTTAGGTTAAGTCAATCAATTCTGTCTGTAAGTGTAAGTAGTCTCTCTTATGCAAATTGGAGGTCACATCATAGGAGATAAAATTAAAAGAGGCTCTACAAAGAGACTTTAATGAAAGCTATTGATCTGCTCATTACTTGGCCTTCAGTTTTTAGACGTCATTAGCAGGAAAGAACTTAACTGAAAAGCCTCATTAATACAGGGAAGGTGTGCTAGCATGAGAAATGCATGAAGGTAAAAACAGATATCAGAACTCTTCAGACAGGTGTAAAGTAGTCCCTGTGCAAAGAAAAGAGCAGAGAAAATGCCTTTCTAAAGGCAGCTTTCCTTTTGCCTCATGGTTGTCCCAGCAAAATAATTATGATTATTAATTATAATAAAATAAAATATATCTTTAATTATAAATTAGTATACAAATACAACTTTTCAATAGAAATCCATTTTTTCCTGTAACTGTTTATGCACTTCTGAAATCTTAAAAGTTATAAAACTAATATATAGAATCTATAACCCCATTGGAAGCAGAGCCCAGATTCCCTGATGCACTATTCATGTGAGTTTGCTATCATATTACACTTCTTCCCCCATACTTTGTTATTTGCAATTCGTATAATTTATGCCCTAAAGTGATTTATTTTTTTCTGAGTTATCTGGTAAGACTAAACACACAATTTAATTTAAGTGTTTCATTCTCAGCTTTACCTTTTATTATATACTGGGTAACACTTGTGTCAGAGAGATTCACAAATCTTTATATAAATGTCTTTTCTCAACATTTCAATTAATTGTCCATGGGGTAAATCTAGTTTTAGAGAAATTCATAAATCTTTATATGAATGTGACAGTCATCATGGAAACTAGGTTTTGAGAAACATAATTTACAAAGTTTAAATGAGAGTCCTCATCTTTACTCTCTTAATAGACTGTGACAATGTGAGACAGTTTTTAGTAAAAAGTCACAAAAATAACAAAGAGGGAAATCCCGAGAAAAGTGAGGAGATGGAGAGTATTATTTTTATTTTTTATAAAGTCAAAATATGCCTTTGTTTTAGGAAAGATAAATTAGAATTTCAATGGGATGGAAACACACATTATTGGCATCTGAGCAAGCCACACCAAACTCATTAGGAAACGTCCTCAAGAAATTTTGGCTCTTCTCCTGATCTTGTCAAAAATTCTATAACAGACATCTGGCTAAATCACTTCACCTCTCAGAGCTTTGGTGTTTCTTGCTAGTCAAATGAAAAGATGGCTCTGTGGTTCAAGCTGGATTCTGCAGTTCCCTGGGCTCGGCTTCCTCTTGAAGGTCCATGTGGATAAGGGGAAATCTATATGAGTGGGACTTCAAGAAAAATAGAGCAGGTGTGCTTTTGTCTCTTTCATACATTTCACTTGTGATTTTGTTTAAAAATAGGAGTTCACTCCTTAAAAAAAGAAGTCATCCCTATCATTTGAGTATATTCCCAGATCTGCAATTCTAAGATTCTAAATGGCTGATTTACTTGTCAGATCTCACTTTTAGTAGTTGGAGTAAGCCATGTCAGAGGAAATTTGCCTTAGAAGTGGAAATAAAGGAATGCGGCCAGTGGAAAATATAGGGTAAGATTTTCTTTCCCGTGAGAAAATATATTAGTTAGGCCTCACATTGCACCCTGCTGTCTTGAGTTCACCCTAGTGTGGGTATAAATTCTGTTAGAATCAGCCGATAGTAGGCGGTGGCCAAGTCTTCAGCATGCGGTTACACTCACTGAGTTAACACATGTTTCCTGAGCTCTTACCAGGAGTTCTTTTGATTCTAGGCCCCAGAAATAAAGAGATTTATAGTCCTGCTCATTGACCTCTGAGACTTACAGTGCTATGACAGAAGCAGACATTACACAAATCTACACCCAATAAAAATGTTCACTCTTTTAAAAAGTTTTTTATTCTGAAATAATTTTAGATTTTCAAAAAAGATGAGGAGACAGTACAGAGAGTTCCCAACAGTCTTCACCCAGTTTCCCCTAATGTTGACCTCTTACATAACCATGGGATATTCATCAAAACTAAGACACTAACGCTAGTAAATACCACTAACTAGAGACTGTATTTGGATTTTTCCAGTTTTTCCACTAATGTCCTTTCTTTGAAATCCAATCTAGGGTACCACATTGCGTTTAATTGTCATGCCTCCTTAGGCTCCTTCCATCTGTTTCTCAGTTTTCCCTAACTTTTTATGACTTTGATACATTGGGAAAAGAACTAGTAAGGTGTTTTGTAGAATGTTTCCCAGTTTGGGTTTGTCTGATGTTTTTCTCATGATTAGAGTGAGGTTATGGGTTTTGAGGAAAAGTACCACATAGGTGAAGTGCTATTTCATGTTATCACATTAGGAGTACATGCTAGCAACATGACTTATCACTGGAGCTGTTAACTTTAAGTTATTATTTTAACTTTTTCGTATACTATTTTTTTTAATGGAGTCTTGCTCTGTCACCCAGGCTGGAGTGCAATGGCGTGATCTTGGCTCAGTACAACCTCTGCCTTCTGGGTTCAAGTGATTCTCATGCCTCAGCCTCCTGAGTAGCTGTGGCCACAAGCTCATGTCACCTCGCCCAGATATTTTTTGTATTTTTAGTAGAGATGGGGTTTCACCATGTTGGCTAGATTGGTCTCAAACTCCTGACCTCAGGTGATCCACTTTCCTAGGCTTCCCAAAGTGCTGGGATTACAGGCATGAGCCACAGCACCCAGCCTTTCATACACTATTTATTAGGAAGGAATCGCTGAGTCCAGCCCACACTTAAAGGGAGGAAAATTTAGCTTCTCTCTCTGGAGGGAGGACTGTCTAAGCTTATTATTTAGAATTGCTGTCTAAGAAAGAGTTGTCTCTTCATCCCATTTCCAATAAAAAGTTTTACAAATTATGATAAGAGCTATGTAGGAAAATAAAAGAGAGATGTAGGAGAGAATAACAGGAGAGATCTATTTGGAAGCTCTATAAACAAGATATCAGCCTTCAGATGTCCTAGACTGATACCTGTAAGGACATTAGAGAAGCAAAAGAGAAAACGACAGGAGAAAAATGTACCCTTACTCATGTCCTTTCCTCCCCCATCACCTACAACAGGGATAACTTACAGATATTCAGAATTAGTGGTGCGGGGAGACAGCATCATAAAAAAACAAGGCAAAACCAAAAAATGCTACATTTTTTTTCCTAAGGCATAAACAGAACTTGTATCGGGCAATGATGGCTACTGTTGAAACAGTATCCTGAAGCAATTCTTGAAGAAGCAGCTAACTTGAGCAAAAGAAAAGAAAAAGATCACAAGTTAATTTTGCGTCTGGGATGTACTAGAAAGATTACTTTCTCTTTTTCATACTTGTTAAACCCAGTTTGTGTACAAAAGATAGGAATTATAATACACAGTATCACAGGATCTGAGATTGATATATTTGAGGTGTACAAATGAGAAGGGTAATTGAGGTAAGGATATGGAGGACATAGGATGGAGTTGGCATTGCAGAGCCAGCTGAAGTGAAAGGAGTCAGAATGAGTTCACATCCTAGTTTAAACCCACGTAGGCCTGGCTTATTGGACTAATGAGAAACTGGCAGATATAGATGTCTGACTTCAGAATTTTTTCTCAATGGAATGTGAAACCACAATCCCCTTGTGGGTTTGCAAAATTATACAGAGATAAAATACAAAATGTTGAGAAAACAAATATTTTAAATAAAAACTTAAGATAACCAAATTATGAGACCAAAGAGGAAACAGATTGGTTACTCTACTTCCAGCAGGAGAGAAGATAAAATAAGCAGACAGAAGTGCTATCTAAGCTTCCCTGCCCTTGTTTTATGTGCTTTAACTTTCTTTCCACAGCTCTCAATCCTGTGCCCTATTTCAGAGCCTTTTTTTTCCTACTCATCTTGTGAACCTCAGGACACTGAGGAAATTTGATGTTCAGACATTTTATTTTTAGGATATCACATTATGTAATATCTTAGGCTGGTGTCATTCATCCCAAAAACTGCTGTTTTGAACGAGAACTGAGACAAATGTGCCCAGTGTATATCAATCTTTTACATCCAACCTGTCTCAAAAACACCTATAAAAGCTCAGTAATCCCTTCTGAAAACATTTTTCTTCTTTCCATTAACAAATATATATGTGACTCTAGGTTCATTTTCAAAGTCTAATGCCTGCATCTCTATTTCTGGCAGTATTTCTCAGGTAATTAACATTCCTGGGAGCACAGTCAGGCACAATACTAAAAAAGAAAATTTTTACTTATTTGATTTTTCTGCTGTGTAAAGAATGTTACAACTCTACTTCATCCTTTGAAAAAATACACTCTTGTTCTCCCATCAAGGACATGCATAAAAGCAAAATATAGAAAAGGAAAAAAGAAAAAAAGTTACAAGGAATAATAAAAGATGTTGCATGTGTACTAAGGCTCCAAATATCTATAGGGCTCTGCCTGATAAAGGGCCCACAGTCACGTCTGCCCACCACTCAATGTGATCTTTTCATCTCAAAAGAAGAAATTTTGTGGGGTGTCACTGACAATGAGACCAGTGTCAATTTAAAATTCCACATGGAAAACAATAGTGAGCTTCTGATCAACAATTGTTGTAAAGTCAAAACATCTTATACTTTTATGCTGAATTAGTAGAGTTGTTTGGATATGATATTTATTTAAAAGGCTTTTCATCAACTCTATCAATCATTTCCTCAGTGCATCTTGGTAATGTAACTGGTGTGATGTTTAAACAGAAAACTGCAGCAGTAAAGTGGGACAGCAGTCCTAGAATGCTGCTGAAATGCCCATGGATCAGCCAGCCTACTCATTAGCTTTATTGCTAACAAACAGGAAAACCATGCATATAATTACATGAATTGCAGAGCCAGCAACACAAGTTGGCACCGGGAATTCGTTCTCTGCCACCATTGCTTCATCAGGATCAGACATTGCCTGTACGCTTTCAAAGGGGCAAAGGGTTGGAAACAAAATAAGCAAGTGTTCTTTTTTCACTGTATATTATTTTTCACCCCTAAGCAAACCTCTCTCTAGCCATGGACGGCCCACCTACTTTTAGAAGTCAGTGCACACAATGAGTCAGTGAATTTAGGCTTCTTGTAACTAGTGTTAATACAATATTACTAGTAATGTTACCAGTGATGTAAAAAATAATGACAATATTATAGAGAATATGACTTAAGAACTGAGATTTAAAGAAGTTTGAGTTATTCAAATTTACAAGCCTATTAATGTGTGTGTGTGTGTGTGTGTGCACGCGTGTGTGTGTGTGTGTGTGTGTGTGTGTGTAGGGAAGCTGGAGCCAGAACCTAGGTCTTCTTGCCTGTCTAGCATCTTCTACATGTTCTTGTTCATTGTCATCACTACAGTAGGAGATAAAACTTTTGAGGCTCATTCACTGAGAGCATGCCTCTAAGTGCCATGATCAAACATAAATACAGGACCAAATAGACTTACTACTTGGAACTGCTTTGAGAATTCTTATATTCTTATTCTATATGGTTCCTTTAGATATCAGCTTCATCGTTATTTTGCATTTCTATTATTTCTTCTATGAACTTAAATATGATAATATGAATAATTCACCAGCATGGCTCCTGACACAAATCAGACATTCTCCATTCTCCAGATACATTCTTATTTCTCTCTCCTAATGTAGTAGAAGGGCCCCCACCTTGGGACACAAAGGACTTTTACTGACAATGATTTTTAGTCATTCTAATTATTCCCTATAGTATGCAGTTTATACCAACTGCCCTACTTTTCCTAAAGAGTTGATATAAAAATTGAAGGAGAAAATGCATATGAAATTGTTTAATTTATGATTCATTGGCTGATTTTACTTCAAAGCTAAACAAAATTTTTATGAAGAATTGTTGCTTGAAGCCATTGGGATTCCTTTTCTCTAGGAAACGAGACCTCTCACTATCCTTGATTTTCTTTGGCAAATCATGATATCTATTGATTGTAGAAATTCTTTCCAACATGTCAAGTGCTTAGAGATTTATAAGCAAAGGGAAAAAAATCCCTGTAAGCTTCATCAATCTGGGGATATTCGCGAGATGAAATATTACCATGTAAAATGAAAATAAATCACAGTTCCAAATACCCCTGTGGCTGGACACCTCCCAGTGACCCACCCCAGCTCATAGATGCAGCTGTGGCAAATAATAGCCAGGAGTGATGATCATTGTGCTTTCAGTCCATTACCACAAGCCTGATATACATAAAATACAGGTCAAAGCATTCTATTTAATGCCATATTTATCTTCGGAACATGAAGCATGAGAATGTTGTTATAGTACTAAAGAAACAGGAGTGATAAATGAATAGTTTCCTAAATGCTATTTAAATGACTACATACAACTTCTAGCTCCTCATTGAAGTATAAGTTCCACAAGAGAGAAGACCATGTTTGTTTTCTACTATCTCTCAGGACTTAGCAAAGTGCTTGTCTCATATCAGTCCTCAATGAAATACATGTAGATGACTTAATTAATTAATTTTATTGAGATCTATATTGCTGCACTTATTTACTTACAACTGTTTTTCTTTGCTAAACCATCCCCCAGTGTGGGAAGAGACTATGTTGTATTCATCTTCTTCTTCTTTTTTTTTTTTTTTAAAGATGGAGTCTCGCTGTTGCCCAGGCTGTAGTGCAGTGGCACAATCTGGGCTCACTGCAACCCCCACCTTCCAGATTCAAGTGATTCTCCTTCCTCAGCCTCCTGAGTAGTTGTGATTACAGGCACCCTCCACCACGCCCAGCTAATTTTTTGTATTTTTTAGTAGAGACAGGGTTTCATCATGTTGGCCAGGCAGGTCTTGAATTCCTGACCTCAAGTGATCCACCCGCCTTGGCCTCCCAAAGTGCTGGGATTACAGACGTGAGCCACCACACCCAGCCTGTTGTATTCATCTTTAGCCACCACCTGTGTAGGTGCTCATTCAGTGAACAAATGGCTATAAGAAGAGACACAGTATAAAGAGTAGTTGAGGTCAGTTACTTCTCCTCCAGGTCTTAAGCATATGTAAGAAGAGAATAAAAATTCCGTAATGGGGAAAGTTGTTTTCAAGGATTAAACCAGCAAGAAGAGGAACTGATCAATGAAAAAAGAAATATTATGGATAGAAAAACTTATAAGAAAGACAAAAAAAATGGGATTTTCTAGGCATAGGCTTACTAGCACAGAAGACTGAAGGTAACTCTGGAACAAGTTGAGAAGAAAGAAATGCAGGGAATTCATAAACTCAGAGAGGTTTCTAGAGAGTGGTAAATACAGCATAGTATATTGCTTTTTAAATGTCAGAGCATAAAGAAAATTTCAGAGTTAAGTTATGGATTTCAACAGTAAAAATTTAAAAGAAACAGCATGGAAACAATTGTTGGAGGGTTAGTGATGTGTTTAGATGTAATCATGTGAAGAATATGGCAGTTTTCATTATGAAAAGCTGTGGTTAGAAATACAGGAAACTGTTTTTTAAGCTAAATGAATTCAGATTGCTGGAGATGATCCAGCAGCTGCTGTGCATAGAATTCAGTGTTTGCGTCTTGGAGACTAACACATTATATTTGGCCTTTAATTAAAAATGATTTATTCAATGCTTTCTCAGAGATGATATGAAATTTATCACAAATTATATTCAGACATTTGAAAATTCTGGGGTAAAAATTAGGCAGTGGCTGTCATTTATACAAACTTTTAAAAATGTACCTCGCTGTCATATAAAGATGAATTTTAATAGTTTGTCTGTTACCAAAATATGCTTCCTAAAAATTATGAAAATAAGAATCTTAAAGGTGAAAAAAATGGCTGAGCAATACTTTGTATTCCTCAAAATGATTGATTTGTTGATTTAAAATTACGTTTATTTTAAATTTTAAAAGTCCTTTCCAGTGTATAAACATTATAACCTAACAGATAATAATAATTCAGTAATCAACCATAGTGAATTGCGTGGTGATGCTTAAAGCCAATGATTTTTGTAGAAAATATTTAAATATATCAGTGAATTAAAATGATTGTTGTTATGCTAAAGTTAACACTTAAAGAACCAATTGTCCTATTTTAGTTACAAAAAGATATACTGTGTGTTTATAAAAAGGTTAAACAAACGGAAATTGGTAAAATAGCAAACATTTTAATACACATTGATTACAGGTAGGACTTCTACTTCTAATTAATGTCCTCACTATCTGGATTTTTTAATGAAGATCTGAAATATCTACACTATTATTGTCACTTGAGTTGCTACCAGTCAAATCTGAACAGTTCAAGTGTGGGTTAATGTTTCTGTCTGACTGGTTGGGGATTTATTTAACTAGATTTATCATCCAGTTAATGTTAAAATTAGAATGTTAATATTGATTTTGATTCAAGTCTAACAAGCACTACACATGATAAAGTTCAAACTAGAGCATTTGACTACATAATTATGGGCAAAAATCTAAGCTAAAATCAAGTATTTTGTAAGTAATGTTTTGTAGACAGTTTCAAAGTTTCAACTGTTTTATAAAGAGCAATGACATAAATTGAATGACCTTAAAAAAAAAAAAAACAGCTCTGGAGCACATGTCTAATTACGTCATGAACAGCTGTGAGTTTGACTTCCTTAACTTTTATTTTAAGCATAAAACTATTGTGGCAGTGCCATAAGGAATATAATTAGGTTTAATTGTCTATTTACTTATGTGTGACAATGAAATCAAAACGTCTTTCTAAAAAAAAAAAGAATTGATCCTACTGATGAGTTTTCAGATAACTGTCAGAATGGATGTTTATTCCTGTCTCTCATGATCTGTCTAGGCACATGGGTCTTTAAACAATTGACAGCATAAAATACCTGTTTACCAGTACCTTTTATGTGACAAAACAAATTTGAGATAACTATAACGTAATTTTGTCAAAGTTTATTTGAGAGATACAATATACAAAAAAAATTACATGCAAAGCAAACTATCCATTCACTTTTCCAGATATTCTAAAATATCAAGCTAGGTCAGTGAAGACCTAAACATACAGATTATATATTAAAGGCTACAAACACTCCAGAGTTGCTTCTTCTGGATTGTCTTTTGGAGTGATGATAACTTAAGCCTACACTGACAGTTGTAAGAGATAGTCTTGTGAAATTGAATTTAGTTAAATGAATTATTGAGCACCTATTATGTGCTAACCATTAGACTGAGGGAAAAATACAACAGTAAGCAAAACAGAGATAGTCTCAGCACTTGTGAAGCCTGGAAAAGTGTCCAACTAATTACAACTCAGAGATAAATGTTGTGGTGAGAGCCACATACAGTATTCTGGGAGCCACAAAGAAGAGCATGGAAGGCAACCTGGTGGTTAAAGAAGGGCTTACTACAGAAAGTAATACCCCAACTGCTGATTTGAGGGATGTGTGAGAGTTAGCCAAGGAAAAGGACAATGTCATACATCATTAAATCTTCTTTTGTCAAGAAATATCCTCAAGAGGATATTTCCAAGTATATTGGTTTTTTTTTAATGTCAGAATGCTATTTTTGGCTTTTTTTTTTTAAAGTAGCCATAAGGTCTGGCCTTAATACTGTGATTGTTAGCTTATAAGAATTCAGATCAAGTGATTAGGTGACTGTGAGCTAAATGTTTTACCTAGTTTCTGGCAATGACTTATGTCTCTATTCCTTTTTTATTTTATTTTTCAACCAGTTTATTTCTTATAAATAATTTTTCTGGTTCCTAATGCAGTACATGTTCAATGTAGAAAATTTTAAAATTTTCTACAGTGATTTTGTATCCTGAGACTTTGCTGAAGTTTTTTATCAGCTTAAGAAGCTTTGGGGCTGAGGCTATGGGGTTCTGTTATAGATATAGGATCATGTCATCTGCAAACAAGGGCAGTTTGACTTTCTCTCTTCTTATTTGGATGCTCTTTACTTTTCTCTTGTCTGATTACCCTAGCCAGGACTTCCAATACTATGTTGAACAGGAGTAGTGAGAGAGGGCATCCTTGTCTTGTGCTAGTTTTCAAGGGGAATGCTTCCAGCTTTTGCCCATTCAGTATAATGTTGGCTGTGGGTTTGTCATAGATGGCTCTTATTATTTTGAGATGCATTCCTTCGATACCTAGTTTATTGGGAGTTTTTAACAGGAAGGACGTTGAATTTTATTGAAAGCCTTTTCTGCATCTATTGAGATAATCATGTGGTTTTTGTCTTTAGTTCTGTTTATGTGATGAATCACTTTTATTGATTTGCATGTGTTGAACCAAATATTATATTGTATACCAGTATGAAGCATACTTGATCGTGGTGGATAAGCTTTTTGATGTGCTGCTGGATTCAGTTTACCAGTATTATGTTGAGGATTTTTGCATCGACATTCATTAAAACTATTGACCTGAAATTTCCTTTTTTGTTGTATCTCTGCCAAGTTTTGGTATCAGGATGATGCTGGCCTCATAGGATGAGTTGGGGAGGAGTCCCTCCCCCTCAATTTGTTGGAAGAGTTTCAGCAGGAATGGTACCAGCTCTTCTTTGTACATCTGGTAGAATTCAGCTGTGAATCCGTCTGGTCCTGGGGTTTTTTTGGTTGGTAGGCTATTTATTACTGCCTCAATTTCAGAATTTATTATTGGTTTGTTCAGGGATTTAGTTTCTTTCTGGTTCAGTCTTAGGAGGATGTATATGTCTATAAATTTATCCATTTCTTCTAGATTTTCTAGTTTATGTGCATAGAGGTATTCATAATATTCTCTGATGGTTGTTTGTATTTCTGTGGGCTCAGTGGTAAAATCCCCTTTGTCATTTATCATTGTGTCTACTTGAATCTTCTCTCTTTTCTTCTTTATTAGTCTAGCTAGTGGTCTATTTTATTATTTTTTTCAAAATACCAGCTCCTGGATTCATTGATCTTTTGAATGGTTTTTTGTGTCTTTATCTTCTCCATTTCAGCTCTGATTTTGGTTATTTCTTGTCTTCTTCTAGTTTTGGGATTTGTTTGTTCTTGGTTCTCTAGTTCTTTTAGTTGTGATGTTAGGTTGTTAACTTGAGATCTTTCTAGCTTTTTGATGTGGGCATTTAGTGCTATAAATTTCCCTCTTAACACTAGAGCTTACCTGTGTCCCAGGTAAATTCTGGTATGTTTTATCTTTGTTCTCATTCATTTCAAATAACTTCTTGACTGCTGCCTCAATCCCATTATTTACCGAAAAGTCATTCAGGAACAGGTTATTCAATTTCTATGTAATTGTGTGGTTTTGAGTGAATTTCTTAGACTTGATTTCTAATATAATTGCACTGTGGTCTGAGAGACTGTTATGATTTTAGTTCTTTTGCATTTGCTGAGGAATATTTTATTTCCAATTACGTGATTGATTTTAGAGTAAGTGCCCTGTGGTGATTAGAAGAATGTATATTGTTTTTTGGGGGGCTGAGGGATTGGGGTGGCAGAGAGTTCTGTTGATCTCTATCAGGTTCATTTGATCCGGTGCTGAGTTCAGATCCTGAATATCTTTGTTAATTTTTTGTCTCAATGATCTCCCTAATATTGTCAGTTGGGTGTTAAAGTCTCTCACTATTATTGTGTGGAAGTCTAAGTCTCTTTGAAGGTCTCTAAGAGCCTGCCGTATGAATCTGAGTGCTCCTGTGTTGGGTGCATATATACATATATATTTAGGATGGTTAGGTCTTCTGGTTGAATTGAACCCTTTACCATTATGTAATGCCATTCTTTTTTTTTGTTGTTGGTTTAAACTCTGTTTTGTCAGAAATTAGGATTGCAACCCCTGCTTTTTTCTGTTTACCATTTGGTTGGTAGATTTTCCTCCATCCCTTTATTTTGAGCCTATGTGAGTCATTACATGTGAGATGGGCCTCTTGAAGACAGCATATGAATGGATCTTGGTTCTTTATCAAATTTGCCACTGTGTGTGCTCTTATTGGAGCATTTAGCCCATTTACATTTAAGGTTAATATTCATAGGTATAAATTTAATCTTGTCATCATGATGTTAGCTGGTTATTTTGCAGACTTATTTATGTGGTGGTGTTACAGTGTCAGTGGTCTGTGTACTTCAGTGTGTTTTTGTAGTGACTGGTAATGCTCTTTCCTTTCCATGTTTAGTGCTTACTTCAGGAGCTCTTGTAAGGCAGGTCTGGTAGTAACAAACTCCCTTAGCATTTGCTTGTCTGAAAAGGATCTTATTTCTCTTTTGTTTATGAAGCTTAGTTTGGCCAGATATGAAATATTTAATTATCTAGAATATTTCTCAGCAAATAATAGATTCATAATAAATATTTTTATTGACAAAAAAAGAGATCACTCTATATACCCTGTTTTGTGACATGGTGTTGTTTTTGCTTAATAAATAATATATGTAAAAAAATTTATAAAAGTAATATCAACAAAAAATCAGATATGAAAATAAATTGCCCAGAAATAACTTCAAAACAATCTTCAAATAAGAATATGCTGTATGTTCAGAATGTTTAGATAGAAAAAGATAATGACATAGATTTTTTTAATTGAACTACACTGCATTTTAACTAACTGTTTACTTATCAATGTATCATAAATGCCTTCTGATATCTTTAAATCCTATTTGGCAAAAGTAATTTAGTGGTTATATAACAGCTTATACTCTGAAAGTATTATAATTAATTTATCAACTAGAATTATTTTCAGACATCTTTTTTTAAAATTTAGCCCACATAAACAATTCAAACTTTCCCTTAAGAAATATTTTATCGAAGTGTACCTCCATCTTTGTTTTCTTTTCTTTTCATTTATTTTCTGGCCTTCATATAGTGTAGTTTTTAAAAATATTGAGTATCCATCTCTGCTGTGAAAAATTGTATTGTTAATTGAGATTTGATTAGGATACTGAGAGCTGGCAATTGGGCCAGCTACCTAGGAATTTCTGAAAGTGCCTTATTTAAATGTTTATACTTTTCTTTAGGTATTTGACAGTTTGATTTATGATATATTGTAGTTTTTTCAACTTATTTTGATTTTATGTCATATGTAGTTGAAAGTTATTTCTGGAATATATTAAAACTCACAAGAATGTTTCTTTATGTTTATATCTTTGGTTATATTCTTGGGAAAGCACTTCACCATACCAATATCTACAAAATGCACACACACACACGTATATATTTCTTTATTTTCTTTTTTTACTTTGGTTTCCTATACTCTTAACTTATATCACCTTATTTTATTTTACATACTCTCTTACATGTTGTTTTAAGTCATTTCTGGAACAAAACAGTATATAAATAAGAATATATTTCTTAAGATCAAAACAAACTGAAATCTGAACACATATATTTAATGTTTAACTTAAAAAACAATGAAAATATTTTAAAGTAAAATCTTTATTATTTTTATGTAAATATTAAATTAGCGGCTTATAACTTGACTAAAAATCATAAGTTTCACTGAGTTAAGGGATTTATTGTGGAATGCAAGGTATATAACATTTAAATATAATTTTGAAACTGAGAGCATATTTTCACTTAGTCATACTAATTAATGATCTTCATCAAGAGAAAGTGCTAACATCTTATTTAAGCCCAGAAAAGCATAATTTTCATAGCAGAGGTGCACAAATGTGTGCATTGCTAGTCTTTACTGTAGACATTAATCAGTATTCAGCATTTTCCTGTGATGTCCATGAGAAAAGATCCATTAAAAATGATAGCTTGAGGTAATCTTTTTATTGCCATTTAATTGGGAAAACTATGTTTTTCCTATTTTAAGCATAAGTTTAGTCTCTGGAGATGACACATAAGCATGCGATGGCAAAAGCAAAAACTTTTGCCTCCTCTTAATCAGTAGCTTTTGGATATATACTAAATTGGACCAAATGGATTAAACACACATAAAAGTCTCTAATTTTTTAGTGTCTATATTCATAATTTTGGTGCTGAGTTGAGACATTTGATTTTGCTGAAAACTAATTTAGTCATTACACTGGGTAAAATTTTTTTTATAGAGAAAAGAATATGGATTACAGTCAGAAACATCTGGGTGTACCTCCCAATTGGCTAGCATGTTGTATCTATGACTTTGAAAAATTATGCAAGCTGCATGTCTCAGATTGTTATGTATAAAATAAGAGTAAAATAATTACCTTAACATGGCTTACTCTAATAATTAAATTAGGTTACAATAATGTAATTTTAAGGCATGAAGCAGCCAGCCCAGAATAGAGAAGGTGCTTAATGGTTATTTATTTTTTTTTCCCTTAAATATTAAACTTCATTATTCATGTTTATATAGAAGAAAGAAACTTCAGTTTAGCAGTTAGGATATTATAAGCATTACTGGACACTTTTTTGACAGTAAAAATTTATTAAATATTTCTGGTTCAAAGTGGTAGAATAAAGTTCACATTATCCAACTTTTTCTTCTCAGATACCACCACATTCAGCAAGAATAACAAAACTAGAATCATAAACACTCTTTACTATAACTATGGGCTGTCTTATGGCTACAATATGCAAAATATATAGAAGTGTGGCTGCAAGTAATAAACACCAAAAATGCTGAAGTAGGAGTAAAAAGAGAATGTCAATCCAGCAATTTCACTCCTAGTTATATACCCATAAGAACTGAAAGCAAGGACTCAAACAGATACTTGTACACCAAGACATAGAGCAGCTTTACTCACAATACCCAAAAGATAGTAATAACTCTTCCATCAACACTTGAATGGATTTAAAAACTCTGATGTATACATATAATAATATACTATTCTGCCATAACAATTTTGTTGTCATGCTACAACACAGATAAACTTTGAAAATATTGTGCTAAGTGAAATTAGCCAGACACAAAAGGAAAAATAGTGTATGATTTCATGTATATGAGGTATCTATAATAGGCAAATTTATAGAGAAAGAAAGTAGAATAGAGTTTACCCAGGGGAATGGAGAGTTATTGTTTAATGGGTACAAAATTTATGTTTTCGGTAATGAAAATGTTCTGGAAATAGATAGTGATGATTGTTGCACAGCGTTGTGAATGTACTTAATACCACTGAATTGTACACTCAAAATCATTAAATGTTATATTTTATATTACATATATTTTACCACAATAAAAAGGGGATGCAGAATACCACTGGCTACAGATCTCAGAAAAACTGCGAAGTAAACCTCTCCAAGATGAAGGAAATGCCCTTAAGGGAAGAACCAAAATATCATATTTACAAAAAAGAGAATAGAATATCTTGCCCTAACAATGGCTACTTTTTTAAATTTTTGTTTGACTCTAAGTACCAAAATAGGAAAGAAAGTCTACATTGTGAGCAATCTTACAGCTACCTGGATCCACTAGCATGCTAAAGGTGAAAGCTAAAAGATTTCACTCAATCCAAATAAAAATTTCTGCTGACCCAAAATATGGCCTTGGTATCCTGCTAACATAAATCTGCTGCAAAGAATTAGCTGGGGAGAAAAAAAATCACAACCAAAAACCAAAGTGAAGAGCAGGAAAAATAAGCTGCAGATTACAATCACCCACCAGAAAGATGGTATTATGAATAAATCAAAATTATACTCAAATATGACCATATATTGGATTTTTAATTATTAATGAAATAATGTTATTAAACAACACTATAGGCAGAGATATAAGAGTTCAGAGAAGCAATTTTGAGAATTATAGAAGAAATAAAGAAAAAATAGAAGCAGCTCAAGAATAAATAAAAGTGAAAATAGATACTAAAGACAGGAATGAAAAACTGAACAAAATAAAATGGAGATAAATGTCTGACAAGCTTATAGAGAAAATGATAAATATCAAAAATAAACAAAGGAGATTTGAACTTCACATTATAGAATTCCACAAAAAAAGCAAATTAATGAAACAAAAGAAATTTCAAGAAGTAGAATTAACAGGGGCTATCTAGCAAAATTTGGTATTGCATAATTGATCTTGTTAAATCTGTTAAATATCAAATGTGAAAAATAAATCCCTGTTTAACAAATGCTAAAGTTGAGGCCAGGACAGTAGCTCACGCTTGTAATCCTAGCACTTTGGGAGGCCTAGGGGTGGATCACCTGAGGTCAGAAGTTCGAGACCAGCCTGACCAACATGGAGAAACCCCATCTCTACTAAAAATACAAAATTAGGCAGGCATGGTGGTGCATGCCTGTAATCCTAGCTACTCGGGAGGCTGAGGCAGGAGAATTGCTTGATCCCAGGAGGTGGAGGTTGCGGTGAGCTGAGATCACGCCATTGCACTCTAGCCTGGGCAACAAGAGCGAGACTCCATCTCAAAAAACAAAAAACAAAACAACAACAACAACAATAACAAAAAAGCTAAAGTTGAAAAAAGAGGGCATGGAAAGGAGAAGAAGATAAAGTCATATCTTCATTTGTCAATAAGAACCCCTTAGAAAAACTGGCCTCATAGTTTATCTATGAAGTTCCTTTCCATAGGGTTCCTGGCCAATGGAAAGTAGAGACTGTCACTTTCTGACAGACCTAGAAACCTCAAGTTGTTTTGGGTCCTCAAGAAGGAGAGGTTCACTCAATTCTTACAGGTATTTTTAGGTGCAAATGGATCCTTGGCTGGGCTCAAGAGGCCTTTCGAAGTCAAGTCTGAGATTCCTAGTGAGAGATTCCAGCAAAGCCCATTTAGGAGAGCCCAGTTGGACAATAATTCTTGCTGTACTCTGTGTGGGGTAGTCAGACCAATTATAGTGGGACTGAAGCTTATTTTGCAGGTAGGTTGGTACTGCTGTGATTTGTCTTTGGTGCAAGTGGGGGACTGAAGAGAAAAAGATTATGTTTCAGAAGAAACCCATAGTGTTTAATATTTGATTCCTGGGTGGCCATGCAGTCACCCCTGGTATCAACCTGCCGACAATGTCCATCCTCAACATGTAGCAGCCAGAAGGATTGATGACCACATTCCCCATGGTTGAGGAAATGATAAATTGAAAGGGAGAGACTAAAACCCACCCAATTTTCTCATAGAACCGATGTTTGTGGTTTCATCTGAATAAACATAGAAATTGACTCTCCCAGTCTTAAAACTTGAGAAAGTTTTATTTTTCTTATCTGAGTTCCCCTCCCAGGAAACCAGCCATCAGTCCTCCCAGATAGTATCAAGGAGCTGAATCTTGCCAGATCACTGCATCTGGACACTGAGATGCAGGACCCCTCACCTGTCATGATTGCCCAACCAACCACCTGCTTCCTATTGACAAACTCCTCTTCTTTGTCCCTTCAACATTCCTGTTTTCCCACATATAGCTACATTTCTTCCCTGCCATAAAAACCCCTAATTTTAGTTGGTCAGGGAGATGGATATGAGAATTATTTCCTATCTCCTCAAGTGCAGCACCTGATTAAAGCCTTCTTCCCTGGCAATGCTCACTGTTTCAGTGAATGGCTTTCTGTGTGGTGAATAGCAGGACCTAGACCAAACCCCTGGCATTTCAGTAACAATATCAGGAGTACCAGAGTCAGGGGTAAGAATGGTCAGTTTGAGCTTCGTGCAGAAGCTGACATTTGAGCAAAATCTTGTAGACATTGAGGCAGTTAGTTGTAAGAAAATTTTAAGGGTTTTATAAGAATATTTTAAGGACTTCATAAGAATATTATAAGGAAGTGCTAATAGAAATATCTTAAGGCAAGAACACACTTGCAATATTTGAAGAAGTACAAGATCAGTGGATTTAGAGTAGAATAAGCAAGAAGAAGAGTAACTGGTGATTAAGTCTGTGAATGAATATGGGCCAGATCATGTAGGGAACTGCAGATGTAAATAAAACCAGCATTGGAGGGTTTGTGCAGAATAGTGACACATGATCTGAATCGCAATTTAGCAAAATTACTCTGTTATGTTGAGATTAGATTGTAGGAGAGCAATAATGAAAGCAAAGAGATCAAGTCAAGAGGACTTTCCAATTGCCCAATGATATGGTTTGAATCTGTATCCCTATCTGATACGGCTTGGCTCTGTGTCCCCACCCAAATCTCATTCTAATTGTAATCCCCATGTTTCAAGGGTGGGACCTGATGGGAGGTGATTTGATCATGGACACAGATTTCCCCCTTGTTTCTGTCAATTGTGATAGTGAGTTTTCATGAGATTTGGTTGTTTAAAAGCATACAGCAGCTCCCTCCTCTCTCTTGGTCCTGCTCTTGCCATGAAGATTCCTGCTCCATCTTTGCTTTCTGCATGAATTAAAGCTCCCTGAGGCCTCCCCAGAAGCAGATGCTGCTATGCTTTCTGTACAGCCTGCAGAACAATAAGCCAATTATACCTCTTTGTTTATTAATTATCCAGTCTCAGCTATTTCTTTATAGCAGTGTGAGAATGGACTAATATATCCGAGTAAGAAATGTCAGTGGCTCTTCCGTGTGATAGTAGCAGAAATGATAAGTGGTTATACTATTTCTATATTTTGAAGGGGCAGTCAATAAATTTCAGAATAATAAATACAAATAAGTATTAATATATTAAGAGTTTATTGTCATTTATATTAAGAGAAATTCAAATTAAAACTATACTAAGGTATAGCCATTAGAATAGCAAATAAAAAATATATGTAATTGCAAATGTTAGTGAGGATATGGAGCTACTCAAATTCATATACATTGCCGGTGGTGGTGTAAATTAATATGACCACTTTTTTCTACTTATGACCACTAATTTAGCAGAATCTACTAAACTCAACATATGTATACCCTGTGATTTCATAATTTTACTTCTAGATACAAATCTAATAGATATGTATATAGAGGTCTACTGAAAGATATACATAAGAATGTTCAAAAATCACTATTTGTAAAAACCACAAACTGGAAATTTCCCAATGCCCATCAGCAGTAGAATATAAATTGTGGAATAATTGAAATCAGAAAAGTTCCTTTATCCCTCCCACAGATGGGGGGTGTGGCTAACTTCTTCAGTGCCCCGCAGCTCAAACCTCTAGGGGGAGCATGCGGACAGGCAGGTTGTGGGGCTCCGACCCCACGGCAGCATCTGGAGATGAATGCTTACAGTGTGTGTGTGTTACAGTGTGCTCTGATTCAGTTTAGTCGTTGTGTTCATCAGCTCAATTCGACCCTCTGCCTTATCGCAAGGAGAGAGGGCTTTCTGTATCCTGGGTTCTTGCCTTGGTGTACCAGAAAAATTGGATCACATGAGGGCTTGGAGGATGGGTGCAAGGTTTTTTATTGAGTGGTGGTAGCTCTCAGCGAGGTGGATGGGGAGGCCAGAAGCAGGATGGAGTGGGAAGGTGGGTTTCCCTGGAGTCAGGCCACCCAGCAGCTGGGCTCTCCTCCCACCACCCCGGCCAAACTCCCCAGCGTTCCACCAGTCGATAGCCTGCTGACATCTACAGGTGCCTGTCGGTGTGCTCTTCTGCCTGTGTGTTCCTCTCGACATACAGCCACTTGTGTCTGTGCCTGCTAGGATCTCAGGGTTGTTATAGGCATAGGATAGGGGCGTGGAGGGCCAGGATGGTCTTGGAAAATGCGACATTCGGGCGCAAAACCAGAAATGCCTGTCCTTACCTAGGTCTGTGGGCACTGGCCTGGGGGTTGAACCCTAGTCAGGGACCCGCCTTTTTCTACCCAGCACTCCCCTGCCCCCTCCCGTATCATAATCACACAATGGGGTATAATACAGAAATGAGAATGAATGAGAAATTGCATCTCTATACAAAAGTATGGATAAAGCCCACACACACAAAAAAAGTTGAGTGGAAGAATCCAGATACATAAATCATCATGGAATCAGTTCACATAAAGATCAAACAGAAAAGTTAATCTATGGTGTTAGAAATCAGATAGAGGGCTCCTTTGGATGAGAGTTAGTGACTGTGCCTAGGAATACAAGGGGGGCTTCAGGGATGCTGTGAATGCCGTTTCTTGATCTGGGTGCAAGTCATATAGGATGCCAGCCCCCCTCATTTTCTTAATCCAGTCTATCATTGATGGACATTTGTGTTGGTTCCATGTCTTTGCTATTGTAAATAGTGCTGCAATAAACATATGTGTGCATGTGTCTTCATAGTAGAATGATTTATATTCCTTTGGGTATATACCCAGTAATTGAATTACTGGGTCAATGGTATTTCTGGTTCTAGGTCCTTGAGAAATTGCCATACTGTTTTCCACAATGTTTGAACTAATTTACATTCCCACCAATAGTGTAAAAACATTCCTATTTCTTTACAGCCTCACCAGCATCTATTGTTTCCTGACTTTTTATTAATCGCCATTCTCACTGGCGTGAAATGATACCTCATTATGGTTTTGATTTGGATTTCTCTGATGATCAGTGATATTGAGCTTTTTTTTTGTATGTTTGTGGCCACATAAATGTCTTCTTTTGAGAAGTGTCTGTTCATATTATTTGCCCACTTTTTATAGGGTTGTTTGATTTCTTCTTGTAAATTTGTTTAAGTTCCTTGTAGATTCTAGATATTAGACCTTCGTCAGATGGATTGATTGCAAAAATTTTCTCCCATCGTATAGGTTGCCTATTCATTCTGATGATAGCTTCTTTTGCTGTGCAGAAGCACTTTAGTTTAATTAAATCCTGTTTGTCATTTTGATTTTTGTTGCAATTGCTTTTGGTGGCGTTGTCATGAAGTTTTTGCCCATGCCTATGTCTTGAATGGTATTGCCTAGGTTTTTTCTTCTAGGGTTTTTATGGTTTTGAGTTTTACATAAGTCTTTAATCCATCTTGAGTTAATTTTTGTATAAGTTGTAAGGAAGGGGTCCAGTTTCTGTTTTCTGCATATAGCTAGCCAGTTTTCCCAGCATCATTTATTGAATAGGAGATCCTTTCCCCATTGCTTGTTTTTAGCAGATTTGCTGAAGATCAGATGGTTGCAGATGTGTGGTGTTATTTCTGAGGTCTCTGTTCTGCTCCACTGGTCTATATGTCTGTTTTGGTACCAGTACCATGCTATTTTGGTTACCGTAGCCTTGTAGTATAGTTTGAAGACAGGTAGCATGATACCTCCTGCTTTGTTCTTTTTGCCTAGGATTGTTTTGGCTATATGGGGTCTTCTTTGATTCCATATGAAATTTAAAATAGTTTTTTCTAATTCTGTGAAGAATGTTAATGATAGTTTGGAGGGAATAGCATTGAATCTATAAATTACTCTGGGCAATATGACCATTTTCACAATATTGATTCTTCCTATCCATGAGGATGAAATCTTTTTTCATTTGTTTGTGTCCTCTCTTATTTCCTTGAGCAGTGGTTTGTAGTTCACCTTGAAGAGGTCCTTCACATCCCTTGTTAGCTGTAGTCTAGGTATTTTATTCTCTTTGTAGTTACTGTGAATGGGAGTTCATTCATGATTTGGCTCTCTGCTTGTCTATTGTTGGTGTAAAGGAATGCTTGTGATTTTTGCACATTGATTTTTTATCCTGAGACTTTGCCGAAATTACTTATCAGGTTAAGGAGTTTTGAGGCTGAGTTGGTGGGGTTTGCTAAATATAAAATTATGTCATCTGCAAACAGAGACACTTTGACTTCCTCTCTTCTTATTTGAATACCCTTTATTTAGTTCTCTTGCCTGACTGCCCTGGCCAGAACTTCCAATACTATTTTGAATGGGAGTGAAGAGAGAGGGCATCTTTGTCTTGTACTGGCTTTCAAAGGAAATGTTTCCAGCTTTTGCCCATTCAATATGATATTGGCTGTGGGTTTGTCATAAATAGCTCTTATTATTTTGAGATATGTTCCATCAATACCTAGTTTATGAAAGTTTATAACATGAAGGGATGTTGAATTTTATCAGAGGCCTTCTCTGCACCTGTTGAGATAATCATGTGTTTTTTTCTTTGGTTATGTTAATGGGATGGATTACAGTTATTGATTTGCATATGTTGAACCAGCCTTGCATCCGTGGATGAAGATGATTTGATCATGGTGGGTAAGCTTTTTAATGTGCTGCTGGATTGGGTTTGCCAGTATTTTATTGAGGATTTTTGCATCAATGTTCATCAGCAATATTGGCCTGAAGTTTTCTTTTTTTGTTGTTTCTCTTCCAAGTTTTCTTATCAGGATGATGCTGGCTGAATAAAATGAGTTAGGGAGGAGTCCCTCATTTTCAATTGTTTGGAATAGTTTCAGAAGGAATGGTACCAACTCCTCTTTGTATTTCTGTTAGAATTCAGCTGCAAATTCATCTGGTCCTGGGCTTTTTTTGGTTGGTAGGCTATTAACTACTGCCTCAATTTCAGAACTTGTTATTTGTCTACTCAGGGATTCGACTTCTTTCTGGTTTAGTCTTGAGAGGGTGTATGCATATAGGAATTTATCTATTTTTTTCTAGATTTTCTAGTTTATTTGCATAGAGGTGTTTATAGTATTTTCTGATGGTAGTTTGTGTTTCCTTGGGGCCAATGGTAATATCCCCTTTATCATTTTTTATTGTGTCTATTTGATTATTGTCCCTTTTCTTCTTTATTAGTCTAGCTAGTGGTCTGTTTTTTGTGTTGTTGTTTTGTTTTGTTTTTCAAAAAACCAGCTCCTGGATTCATGATTTTTTTTTGGAGGGTTTTTTGTGTCTCTAACTCCTTCAATTCTTCTCTAATCTTAGTTATTTCTTGTCTTCTGCTAACTTTTGGATTAGTCTGTTCTTGACTCTCTGTTTTACTCGTGATGTTAGGGTGTCAATTAGAGATCTTTCTAGCTGTCTGATGTGGGCATTTTGTGTTATAAATTTCCCTCTTAACACTGCTTTAGCTGTGTCTCAGAGATTCTGGTACATTGTATCTTTGATCTGATTGGTTTCAAAGAACTTCTTGATTTCTGCCTTAATTGCATTATTTACCCAGGAGTCATTCAGGAGGAGGTTGTTCAATTTCCATGTAATTGTGTGGTTTTGAAAAAGTTTCTTAATCCTGAGTTTTAATTTGATTGCACTGTGGTCTGAGAGACTGTTTGTTATGATTTCAGTTCTTTTGCATTTGCTGAGGAATGTTTTACTTCCAATTATGTGGTCAATTTTAGAATAAGTGCCCTGTGGCACTGAGAAGAATGTATATTCTATTGATTTGATGTAGAGAGTTCTGTAGACATCTATTAGCTTCATTTGATCCAGAGCAGAGTTCAAGTTCTGAATATCCTTGTTAATTTTCTGTCTTGTTGATATAATCCTGACAGTGGGGTGTTAAAGTCTCCCACTATTATTGTGTGGCAGTCTAAGTCTCTTTGCATGTCTTTAAGAACTTGTTTTATGAATCTAGGTGCTCCTGTATTGGGTCCATATATATTTAGAATAGTTAGCTCTTCTTGTTGAATTTACTGTTTACCTTTACATTTACCATTATGTAATGCCCTTGTTTTTGTTTTTGTTTTTGGGTTTTTTTTGGTTTTTTTTGGTTGTTGTTGTTTTGATCTTTGTTGGTTTAAAGTCTGTTATGCAGAGACTGGATTGCAACCCCTGCTTTTCTTCTTTTCTTCTTTTTTTTCTTCCTATTTTCTTGGTAAATATTTCTCCATCCCTTTATTTTGAGCCTATGTGTGTCTTTGCACATGAGATGGGTCTCCTGAATACAGCACACCAATGGGTCTTGATTCTTTATCCAATTTGCCAGTCTGTGTCTTTTAATCAGGGCTTTTAGCCCATTTACATTTAAGGTTACCATTGTTATTTGTGAATTTGTTCCTATCATTATGATGCTATTTGGTTATTTTGCACATTAGTTCATGCAGTTTCTTCATAGTGTCATTGGTCTTTATATTTTGGTGTGTTTTTGCAGTGGCTGGTAACAGTTTTTCCTTTCCATATTTAGTGCTTCTTTCAGGAGCTCTTGCAGGGCAGGCCTGGTGGTATCAAAATCCCTCAGTATTTGCTTTTCTGGAAAGAATTTTATTTCTCCTTTGCTTATGAAGCTTAGTTTGGCTGGATATGAAATTCTGGCTAAAAATATATTTTCTTTAAGAATGTTGACTATTGGCCCCCAATCTCTTCTGGCTTATAGAATTTCTGCTGAGAGGTCCACCGTTAGTCTGGGCTTCCCTTTGTAGGTGACATGGCCTTTCTCTCTGTCTGTCCTTAACAGTTTTTCCTTCATTTTGACTTTGGAGAATCTGACGATTCTGTTTCTTGGGGTTGATCTTCTCATGGAGTATCTTAATAGTGTTGTCAGTATTTCCTGAATTTGCATATTGGCCTGTCTTGCTAGGTTGGGGAAGTTCTCCTGGATAATATTCTGAAATGTGTTTTCCAGCTTGTTTCCATTCTCCCCGTCACCTTCTGGTACTCCAATCAATCGCAGGTCCAGTCTTTCTATGAAGTCTCATATTTCTTGGAGGCTTTGTTCATTTCGTTTCTTTCTTTTTTCTCTATCTATACTTGTTTGCATGCCTTATTTCAGCAGGGTAGTCTTCAAATTCTGATATTATTTCTTCCACTTGGTTGATTCAGCTACTGATACTTGTGTATGCTTCACAAAGTTCTCGTGCTGCATTTTTCAGCACCAGCAGGTCATTTAAGTTCCTCTCTAAACTGGTTATTCTAGTTAGCAATCCCTCTAAACTTTTATCCAAGTTCTTAACTTCTTTGCATTGGGTTAGAACATGCTCCTTTAGCTCTGCACAGTTTTTTGTTACCCATCTTCTGAAGCATACTTCTGTCAATTCTTCCGTCTCATCCTCTGTCCAGCTCTGTGCTCCGATGGAGATACGTTGTGATTATTTGGAGAAGAGGCGCTCTGATCTTTTGGGTTTTCAGCATTTTTTCATTGATTCTTTCTCGTCATGAGTTTGTCTACTTTCAGTCTTTGAGGCTGCTGACCCTTGGGTGGGTTTTTTGTGGGGCTTTTTGGTTGTCGTTGTTAATGCTGTTGTTGTTGCTTTCTGCTTGTTTTTCTTTCAATGGTCAGATCCCTCTTCCGCAGGGTTGCTACAGTTTGCTGGGGATTCACTTCAGGCTCTATTCATCTGATTCTCTCCCACGCCTGGAGATATCACTTAAGGGGCCTGGAGAACAGCAAAGATGGGTGCCTGATCCTTCTTCTGCGACCTCTGACCTCTAGGGGCACCAACCTGATGCCAGTAGGATCACTCCTGTATAGGGTGTCTGAAAAGTCCTGTTGGAAGATCTCACCCAGTTGGGTGGCATGGGGGACAGGACCCATCTAATGAAGTACTTTGTCCCTTGGTGGAGGGGGTGTGCCTTGCTGGGGGGAAATACACTTGTCTGGGCTGCCTGGATTCCTCAGAAATACCAGGAGGAAAGGCTAGAACTGCTGGTCTGCAGAGACTGTGGCCACCCTTCCCCCTAGGGGCTCAGGCCCAGGAAGATCTGGGTTCTGTCCGTGAGCCTCTGGCTGGAATTATTGGAGTTACTGCAGGGAATCCCCGCCCAGTGAGGACAGATGGGTCAGGGGGAGGCCTGAAGAAGCACTCTAGCTGCAGACTGCCACATCCAGTGTGTTGGGCTGTGGGGCACAAGTCTTGGGACCAAACCCTCCAGTCTCCCCGGCTCCAGCAGGGGAAAAGCACAGCCTGGAGCTATAGAGATGGATGTCGCCCTTTTCCTGCCCAAAGAGCTTAGTATGTTAGGCAGTTGCCAGTCCCAGTGCTGGCTGCTGCCCCTCCCACAAGGAGCTCCAAGGGCTTAAACAACCGGCAGCCACAGCGTGGTGCTGGTTGCCCCTCCTCCCAGAACTCAGCAGGCTTAAGCAGATTACAGGTGAGAGAGGCTGATGAGGATCTGCGTGTTCCGGGGTTGGAACGCTAGGCCCCGGTGGCTGGGTTTGCGATGTTGTACCTGAGCGAGTTAGAGAAAACGCCACACTTTGAGACGAATTAGGAGTCCGTTTATTTAGCCGGCGGCCAAGAGATGGCTAACGCTCAAAATTCTCTCCGCCCCGAAGGAGGGGCTAGATTTTCTTTTATACTTTGGTTTAGAAAGGGGATGGGGGGGTGGATCTAGTTAAAACAATTTTACAGAAGTAAAGTAGTCAAAAAGTTAAAAGGATAAATGGTTACAGGAAAGTAAACAGTTCCAGGTGCAGGGGCTTTAAGACTATTACAAGGTGATAGACCCGGAGCTTTGGGCATTATCAATCGGACGAATTCCTGGGAACTGCGGATATACCTTGCCACAGTATCTTATCAGTTAATTGCATTCTTGGATGTGCTGGGAGTCAGCTTGCACAAGTTAAGTCCTTGAGGAAGGGGCTGCCAGTGAAAGAGCCAAGATGGAGTCTGTCTGGCTCTCTTAGCTAAGGGAGAGTCAATTCAGGTGGAAACAAGGCTAGGTGATTAAAGGAAAGGGAGAGTCTAAAAACAGGGTTAGTAAAAACCAGGTTGGGCATTACAGCGAGTGGGGGTCTTCTGATCTGTGGGTTGCACAGTTTCATGAAAAATCACGGTTTCCCCTCCTGTGTAGCATACTCACTCACCACTCAGCGTCTCCCTTGGCCGCGGGGAGGGGACTCCTCTGCCCCATGTGGCTCTCAGGCCGCAGGACCACACTGTTCTTCCTTCTCTCTGCGCGTCACGCCAGCCTTCTAGTCAGTTCTGATGAGAGAACTTGGATATGTCGGTTGCTGGTGAAGGATTAACACTCTTATTATGTTTTTCTCCAGTGGGAGTCACACGCTGCTGTTTCTAGTTGGCTATCTTGGCCCCACCTTATACTTTATTTTTAAGTTTTTATTCTATTGTTATAAGAATACTTAGCATGAGATATATCCTTTTAACAAATTTTAAGTGTACAATACAGCATTGTTGACTAGAGATATAATGTTGTGCAGAAGATGTCTAGAACTTACTCATCTTGCTTACCTGAAATTTTATAACCATTCATTAGTAATTCCCCATTTCCCGGCCCCCTGGCTCCTGGTAACCACCTTTCACTCTTTGATTCTAAGAACATGACTAGTTTAGATTGTTCATATAAGCAGAATCATGCAATATTTTTCTTTGTGTGACTGGTTTATTTCACTTATCATAATGTCTTCAAGTTTCATCAATGTTCTTGCATTTTGCAGAATTTTCTTCCTTTATAAAGCTGAAAAATATTCAATTGTATGTATATTCCACCTTTTTTTTTTTTAGCAGCAGGGGTTTAATAGGCAGAAGAAAGAGAAAGGAGAAGGGAAAGATCCTATTCCACATTTGTAATCCATTTTCTGTTCAAGGACATTTAGTTTGTTTCCATATGTTGACTATTGTAAATAATGCTTCAATGAACATAGGAGTGCTTATATCTCTTCTAGATCCTAATTTCAATTCTTTAGAGTAAATATCTAAAAGTGGGATTGCTGGATTATATGTTGAAGCCCTTGACTGCATTTGGTATTTCATTCATTGAATTATTCAGTTTCAGGATTTCTGTTTGATTCTTTATATATATATATAATATCTATCTCTTTGGTAAATTTCTCATTCATATCCTGAGTTATTTTTCTAATTACTTTGTATTGTTTATTATCCGTGTTATTATGTATGCCAGTGAGCATCTTTAATACCGTGGTTTTGATTTTTTTTTCAGGCATTTCACAAATTTTCTTTCATTGGAATTGGTTGCTGAAGAATTATTGTGTTCCTTTGGAGTGTCATGTTTCTCTGCTTTTTCATGGTTATTGTGATCTTTTGTGGATACATAAGTGCATCTGGTGTAATAGTTTCTTCTTTCAATTTTTTGAGTTGGCTTTTGCAAGAGGAAGAAACTTTCCTGTATATGTATTTATGGTGTTGGTTGGGTAGAGTACATTAGCTTTGATTATGGGTATGTGAAGTAGTATAAATTTCATATCTTTTTTTGGCTGTAAATAGCATCAGTGGTATATGATGCTATTTCCTCAGTGGTTTATGGTATGGTTTTTAATGGATGCTGTAGTGAGGTTTTGCTGGTGAAACCAGATCAGTCAGTACTGAGGCACCAAGAGTGGGAGCAGTGGCTGGCTGTGCCTGTCCTTGGGGCCCCCAGGTGATGTACACAGGCACCATTGTTTACAGGTCAAGGAGGGCCAATTCTTTGATGTCCCGTCTGCTTGCTTAGGTGCCAGTAGTGGCAGCAGTGGGGTGGGTGAGTAGGCAAGTCTTTGGGCAGCTGGGCAGCATATGTGCTATGGGTCATGGTAGTAGTAATAATAGGACAACCCTAGACCTCTAAGGCATCACTTTGTGTTAGCAGTGGCTGCAGTGGGACGAAAGGGCCAGTTCCTAGGTTCCCAGGTGGCACATGTGGGTGGTGTCAGCAGTGGTAGTGGTGGCACGCTGAATGAACCCTTCATCAGGCCCCTGGAGGAGTGCCCAGATGCCAGCAGTGGTGGATGGGGTGAGTAATCCCCAGGCCTTCAGACAGCTTGCCTGGGTACTGGAGGCAGGTTTTCTAGGCCTGTAGTTAGACACCCTGGTACTGCACATGTAAGCCCGTGGCAACTGACAAAGTAAGCTTATCTCCACAAATCCAGGTAGAATGCATGGTTTCTGGTTGTGGGGGTAGTGTCAGGTGGTGTAGGCCTATTCTCAGATCCCTCTGATGGCACACATGAGCATGGGGTATATAAGCAGGGTAGGGCAAGCTCCAGGCCTCTGGTCAGTGTGCTAGTGCACTGGCAGAGGCATGTGTTCTGGGGTTGTTATTAGGTCTCTGGTACTGTGTATGTGCACCTGGGGTGATTGACAAGGCAGGGCAATATCCAGGCCCCTGGACGCCATGTTCAGGCACTGAAGTCGGGGTGGTGTCTAACCAGGCAGGTTTGTCCTCAGTCCCGGCAGTGGTGTGCATGGGCACAGGCTGTGGTGAGCAGTGCAGGGTGTTCTCTAGGTCCTGTGCAGCCAGCTTGGGTTGAGGCAGCAGAGGCAGCAGTAGGTGAGGCAAGCCCATCCTCAGGGCAGAAGCAAGTATGCAATGGCCCTTCTTCCACTGCTGAGGTGGGTGGGTTTTCTGTCTGTGGTATCCATACTAACCAGGCTGGTTTCAGGCTCTGGAGAGCGCACTCTTCAATCTTTAGCATTGGTAGTGGCAGCAGCAGCAGTGCACAGGGAGAGCTTGTCCTCAGGGTGAATTCAAGTGCTTGACAGCTTTGCTGATTGGGGAGGGGTTCAGGGTCTGTCTGTGGTAGCTGTACCAGGCAGGTGGCTGTCAGGCTCTGGGAAGCACATGCTTTGCTTCTGGCAGTGGCAGTCCTCAGAGTGCATGCAAGTGCACTATGACTCAGCCTGTCTCTGGGGCAGGGTTGCTATTGATGACAGTGGCCCTAGGCAGGCAGGTTTCAGGCTCTAGAGAGCATTTATTTGGCTGTAAATGCTTCATCTCCCTTTGTCATGAGGGCAGCCACCCTAGTGTGCTGTGCTGCCCTTTCCCCAGCATGCAGGTTGCTGTGTGGGCTGGAATGCTGGCAAGCCAGCCACTCTGCTAGGTTGAACCTGCGTTGCACCACTGCAGCCTTTGAGGCAGATGTCGGGAGATATCAGTGGGGCTCCACGGACAAGGAGATGCAGGGGGTGTTCGGTCCAGAACAGGATGCAGTCTGGTGCAGGTGGGATTTCAAAATGGCATCATGCTGCAGCTGCCCAGAACTTGGGGTGTGCATGGGCCTAACATGCCACTCTCTGGAGCAGTACCATCGTGAGGACTCCAGGGAGCTCTCTATGGTCGTTTCAGGAACCACTGAGGACAAAGGGCTCCCTTGTTGCTAGTATTGCAGTTCCCAGTGAGCATGTGGACAACTGGAGATGTCTCATTTGCCCTTTCTCTTGCACTGGGGCATCTCTCCAGGCTCCTGACTGATCCCAGCCAGCTGTCCGCCTTGCCTCCCTTTTCTTCAGTACCTCACGCGTTTTGTGTCATTTCTCTGATGGATTCCAGCATTCTCTCTTGGATATTCTATACAAAGTGTGATTATCCATTCGCTATTTTGGTTCTCCTTTGTGGAGGAGGCAGGTGTCCGGTGCCTCTAGTCAGCCATCATGAAGCCCCATGTGTCCTTTTTAAATTAGGAACTTTTAGAGCTCAATTGGCAGGATGTCCATTTTCAAATGCCAGATATTATTTGCTTAGGCAATTTAATCCCGATGTGTGACATTTTCTTTCCAAATAAAGTATAACGACATGCATATGTAACCACATATCATGATTTTAAGTAATGCTATACTCAAAATCTTTTTATCTATGTTATATAGGATCAAAATTTTGTTTTGAAAGATTCTTATACAGCACAAATTTACCACTTTAATGTCAGAATAGACTTATTGATTGATTGACTGGTTAAGTTATTCACTAAGCATATTTATTATAGGCTGACTATATGGAAGACACTGGTAAAGGCAGGAAATGTTTGAGAGTTGCTGCCATCAAGGATTTTCTAGTTCAGTGGGAAAAATAGCTTTATAAACAAATTATTGTAATCAATGTTAATATATTCAGGAAGAAAAATAAGGGGCTACAGGCATAGAGAAGAGAGCTCACAAATTTCAATTTTTGGAGAAAGGATTCACAAAGTGACTGATATTTAGGGTCTTGAAAGCTAAGAAAGAGTTCTGCCCTGAAAGAAAAGGATATTCCACACAAATGGGGAAAAAGAATCTTCCACTCAGTAGCATGGAATATATGTACACAGCCATGAATGGGAGGAAGAAAGAATGTGCTCCAGATATGTTCCAGAAGCTGCAAGTCTTGTGCTCAAGGTGACTGGAGTACAGCATGCATGTGTCCAGGAGATATACCAGGACAGGTTGGAAGAGGGGCTGTACTAGGGAGCTTTGACCTATATCTATAGTATGGACAATAGGAAGGCACTGAAGAGTGTATAATCCATGAATAAAACCAAATTTCCTGGTTTTGTAACAAAGAAAAGGATGAACTGAGAACTTGGGCAAGTTAAGAGGTAAGGAGGCCAGGTCCCATAACGGTTATAAAAATGAGTGAAAAGTTCTGAGGGTCTGAACTAAAGCAGTTGTGGTAAAACAATGATTGGAACAGAGAGAGATTTGATAAGTATTTAGGAGGTAAACTTAAGATGATTTCTAATTCGAAGTAGTTAATACATATGTGTGTATATTCATGTGTATACTGATTCATTCGTTCCTTTCAAAAATGTCTGTTGTGCAGTCTTTATGTAAAATACCATAATAGATCAGTTACAGTTCCTACTGAGCCAAATCACAGGTGAGAAATAAAGAAATGGCATATTTAAATACCTGAAAGGGAAAGTAAAATGTGATTAATAGCTCACCAGTCAGAAACTTGATCTACAAAGTGTAAAAAGACTTGGAAAAAACTTGAAAGTAGAGTATTATAGACATTACTAGCACATTATCATGTAAAATGAAACATTGATTTTGAAAATTAGGGTACAACCCACAGGCATATTCATTCTAGGAATACTAGTTACTTTATGTAACAAGCCTTCATATGTACCCCCTGAACCTAAAATAATAGTTTAAAAAAATAGAAATATATATATCTCAAAACAAAACAAAAAAAGTGAAATGACTTTCTTTTATCTTCTTGAAGATAGTGTTATTAAACTAAAAAAAAATGTATTAAATGCTTCCAACCTTGTGTTTAGACTGACACAGAGGGAATGGAAGGTATTTCAGGCTGGGGAAACAGTAGGAACAGATGAAAAAGTGAAAAGGAGATTCCCTACCTGACCAGGATTAAGACTGAATTTTTAAGGAGGATCATTTCTTAAGAACATGGATCTTAATGCTAGGGAAAGTAGCCTTACTGTGAAACATAAACCATTAACAAGAACAAAGAAAAGGTGAGGAGAAGCAAATATTTATCATTATTTAGAAACTACTCATTGAAAGACAGTAAAATGTCATTAAGCACTGGGTCATTAAAGGGTTGACCTTGGATGAGCTGCTTGAGGTTTCTGTACCTACATTTTATCTGTGAAATAGAAATAATAATACAATTTACTCTATGGGATTATTAGTTAGTTGATATGTATAAAGTACTCAAAACAGAATATAACACATAGTAGCTACTCTGTAAACATTAGTTATTATCATATACAATATTACAGGCAGTTTTTTATGGTAGAGAGCTCATAACCTATGGCACATGGTAGGTTCTCAAAAAATATTTGCTGAAAAAAGATGAAGAAATGCTGAAAAAGGAAAAAATATGAATATGAATTCCTGCTCTGTTATTCACGATTTTTGTGATCCCGGGCTAATGGGTTAACTGATCCATGCTGTATTTATTCATTCACTTATTAAATAAGCACTCACTGAATATCTATTTTGTGCCAGATACAATAAAAAATGAGACAGATCTGTTCTTTGTTTTTATAGAGTTTACCTTTAGAGGAAAAGACAACAGCAAGCATGTGAACAAATACATAATAAGAAGAATTTCAGTTTGTGATAAGCATCCCAATTCTCTCATCTTCAGGTGGAATATAGCAATACTTACCCTGTGATATGGTTTGGCTCCTTGTCTCCACCCAAATCTCATGTTGAATTGTAATCCCAGTGTTGGAGGAGGGACCTGGTGGGAGATGATTGGATCATAGGAGTGGATTTCCCCGTTCTCTTCTCATGATAGTGAGTGAGTTCTCAGGAGATCTGGTTGTTTAAACGTGTGTAGCACTTCCCCCTTAGCTCTCAGTGTCCTGCTCTGACATGTGAAGACCTACCTGCTTCCCCTTTGCCTTCTGCCATGACTGTAAGTTTCCTGAGCCCTCCCAGCCATGCTTCCTGTACCGCCGTGGGAAATGTGAGTCAATTAAATCTCTCTCTTCATAAATTACCCAGTTTCAGGTAGTTCTTTATAGCAGTGTGAGAATGGACTAATATACCCTCTAAAGTCACAGTAATGATTATGAATAATACGCATAAAAGTGCTTACATAGTGCCTGGAATAAAATGTAGGCAAGTACTCAATGACTCACTAGTAGTATTATCAGTAGTCAAATAAATATAGCATGATTTTGGCATTTAGTAGCCAATGGTTTAATAAAGCTGTCAGAAATGGACAGTCCTTGGGCTGGCCAATTGTTTTTGTTTTTATTTTATAAATAAAGTGTTATTGTAAGTAAAGTTTTTGTAAATAAAGGTTTCTGGGTTTTTATAAGCAATCATGCCTATTTGTTTATATGCTATCTAGAGTTGCTTTCCTGCTACAAAAACAGGGTTGAGTAGTTACAACAAAGACCATATGGCTCCCAAGCCTAAAATTTTTTATCTGGCTTTTTAAAAAGTTTTCTAACTCCTGATCTAGTGTTCTAGTTATGCTGTATTTACAAATAATTAGATCTAACATAGGGCTATTATGATACATCCAGTGATGGATATAAATCTTTTGTGTTGTATAAGAGGAGAGATTGCTCCTGATTATCAGAGAAATCTTCCTAGGGGAGAAAATATTTGAACTAGACTTTGAAAGACAAATAAGAATTTAGGAGGTGGAAATCACTGGGGAGAGGGCATTCCAGGCAAATTCTATATAGAGAAAGGCCTTAGTTGAAGCATAGTATGTGACACACACTATGATTTTAGGAAATGTTTAGTTATAAGGCTGAAAAACATGGGAGGAGAAACACTGAGAAATTTTTTTAAAACCAGACCAATGTGTTTGAACTTAATTTGGTAGGCAATTGAAATTCACTGAAAACTTCTGAGCATGAGAATGACATAATCAGTATTTTTAAAACAGTCATTTGCCAGTTGGTGTGCAAAATAAATTGAAGCAAAGCAACATTTTTTTTTAAAAGGCACCTATCAGTAAGTGACTAAAAAATTCACACAGGCGTAAGATAATGAGGGTTAATTAGCACTAGGATGATAAATGGAGAGAGAAAATATGACACAGATATTGCCACAGTTCTCTAACAGATTGTGCATGCAAGGTAGAATTGAGGGAAAGAGTGAAAGCTGGTATGTGCTAACAGCATAAATGGTACTGAGAATTGATAAGAATGATGAACAATGTCAAAGTCAGCAGAGAAATCAAGATGAATGTGGACTAAGAAAAGATCAGTGGATTTTGGTGTGTAGGAAGTCAATTGTTTCCTCTAGAGTGATGGTGACAGATGTGAGAATATGACTTAAAGAGGTGGTGTGCTTGAAGAAAAAGGGGAACAGAAACTATTAAGATGGTGATAATAAAACTTATCATCATTGAGAGTTTATGATGTGCCGGTAGTGCTTTAAGCACTTCAGGGAACTACTTCATTTAATCTGCATAATGACCCTATGAATAGTCACTGTTATTATCATGCCCGTTTTACAGATGAGGAAATTAAATTTCAGCATGATTAATTTTCCCCAGGCTTTCGCGGTTAGTTATGCTAGTGTTTGAACTCAGATAGTCTGACATCAAAGCCTTGTGCTTAGCCACACAACTGCACTGCATATCCCGCAGGAACAACAAAAAAGTAACGTAAAATGAATCAAAGCAATAGTGCTTTTAACTTTTCCTGTTGGTTATTGAAATTTTTTGTTGCTGTTTGATAAGTGTTACCTGACTACTATTTATAAAGAAATCTTCATTGTTATGTAGATGATGGCTGCTTAATTTAGAATCTAACATCTAGTCATCAAAAATGTAGCATGATGGTATTTTCACTAGTTAGCCTCTTGGTAAGTGTTGAGAGGAGAGAGAGTAGCTACCTAAGGCTGACCTGGTTTGTAAAAGAAACAGCAGGACCCTGCAGCCACCTCCTATAATTGTGGTTTCCAATTCCCCAGCTTCCTGTGTGCAGCAGAGGTGGCCTCTCTGGTGGGCCAGTTCTGCAGGGCTGTTCTGTGAATAACTTCTAGAAGTTCAGCCTAAAGCCTGTCAGACTGACCTCCAGCTCTCTCAGTGATTTTGGAAGCACCAAATTCCCTCTGTTAAATTCCTTTTTATTTAGTCTACCCGGAGTGATTTCTGTTATATGAACATTAACTTATCCTATAGAATATTGAAGCAATAAAATTAGCAAGCATGAGATTGATGACATTGACATTCCAGGAATTTCTCCGGAACTTCTTTTTAAACATTCTCTGCCAGACAAGGGCCGTGCACCATCAGGCAAGGGTGGGATTAAAAATGATGTTTCTTTACTTGTGGCTGTTTTCCAAATTGACAAGTGGATACAGAAAAATGCCAACAGCCAATAGATAAGGTTTTTCAGGTTTAAGATCTGTGTATTTGGATACACTTTAATGTCTTGTGAAATTGACCGGAATCAAATAGTCTTGATGCCTTCTAGGATTTTAAGGAAACTCTTCCTAGAAAATCTGCCCAGTAGCTGCTGGTGGCCATTCCACCCAAAGCAATCCCTGGGCTTCTGAATCCACACCAACAGGAACAAGTTGTTAATTCTGTGCACTTCCTAGAAGGGCAGCCTCTTCACAGCCTGAGACAGGTGATTTTGGGGGATTTTATATTTGCTCTTAATTTCCAGTTGAATTGTATTGTCATCTGATAACACAGTCTATACTAATTCAAATTTGGAATTGAATGACTTTTTCTTTGCAGTTTAATATGTAGTTTGTTTCTATAACTGTTTCATGGGTGAGTTCTTTTTTTTCTGCACTTCTCTATGGATCTATATTTATTCACCTTTCTTATAAGCTCCATTAAAATCCCTTCTGTTCTTATATATTTTTTCTATTTAATCTAACATGGAAAAAAGAGATGCATGTAAGATTTGGTTTTCACTATTTTGATACTATGACATTTAAGTATCAGGGACAACTATGTCCTTATTGTGGGTTTCTGCATTATGATTATAAAGTGATACTGCCTATGTAATTTAATTCTTCTTAAATTTAATTTTGTCTTGCATAATTTTTAAAACTTTAAATACATGCTCACCTGGCCTTATTGAAGAATCATGAAATTTAGATAGTTAATGAGCAAAAAGAACCACCACCCCAAAGATAGTGTCATTATTTCTTCTCTTTCACGGTCAGCCTGTTTAATCTGAAGTTTGTAGATAGAAAAATGATTATATCTTGCAAGGGTCATAAATTTTTTGTATTTGTTTACATATTTTTTCTTTATATGTGAATAATAGGGGGATTAGAATTTAAGTGAGCCTTAATTCTCAATATTTAATCCCTTCAAAATCCCAGGTAAAATGTTATTAAGTAATTCTCCCACTCTTTAGTCAATACAATAGATTTTATTAGGGCTTTTAGTAGAAGGATGCTATTTTCTACCATGCTTATAATTCATATAATAGGTATTTCATAGCTTTGTGGAATTTTTCTTCGATCTCATTGGGAATTTTAGAAAATTAATCTCATTCACCAGAAATATTACCTGAATAATTCATACACGTGTCAAATAACCACAAGGAAATGAAAATATCTTGAAGGACAACTGTGCCACAATCCAGACGGATAGTTATGATTGGGCTTGTTTGGCTAATCAATGCTTATAGTCATCATTTAGATCAAATCTAGAGTGTCTGCCTTTTTTTCTCTTTTATTAGTTTTTGACCTTCCTTTATATAGTCATGACACACTTAGCAATCAGATTAGAAAATTTATTTTTGGCATTTGAAAAATGTCCTCAACTCTGAGGGGCACCCACTGCAAATGAACAATAGATGTGGCTCCTGGGTTATTACTAGTTGGCACTTAGTAGGAGCAAAGAAATGTACAATAGAACTGAGGGAAAAAATCTTATTTTATACTTTTCTATTTTTCTATTTCCTCTTAGATTTTATTTTTAATTTGTCAAGTTTATTGCTTTTCATACTTATTAATTTTTAACAAAGTTCTCAACATTAATTGTTTTATAGCAGTTTCCCTACTCAACCCAGTAAAGTCTTGATAATTTTCCAAACTGGAAGATGCACTTCTACTGTGATGAATCTTTTCTCAAATATTTTGGCCAATCTGATGCCTCTCCCCCAAGAAGTGTCTGAGTTTACAGGTATCTCCACATTTATGACTTCATTGTCTGGTCTTCCACAGGGCTAATTTGTGAGTCTATCCAGATCCTCTATGCTGGTTTCACCTCCTGTTTTCATTCCTTCCTCTGCTCTTTCAATACCATGTTACCCTGCCTCTGTTTGTCTACTACTGACCCATCCCTGTCACCTGCTAGGTTTCTTCTTCCTCTAAGTCTATGTCAGCCTAAATGGGCAGACTTATATCTTTATTCCTTGAGTCAAGATTGTCATCACAGGGTTCGCTGTGAAGAGTATAGAATGATTTTTGCTATAACAGTTACTCAGACTAGGTCAGTATTTTTAAGTCTACCATCTAATATGCAAAAATAATGATCTCACTTAAGTCATTTTACTATATTACTTTTTAGAATCTTTCTTCCATTTATGAACATTTACACTTGGTACCCTGCATACTGCTGGACAGATTTCCCTGCATAGTGGCAATCTGGTGACATTAAATCACACTTCCATCTTTGTATTCTTCATATCTGCTCCTCAAGAACTTACATTCTCACTAGAGACTTACTGCATCACATGGTCTTTTGAGGGACTCTTCTCTAAATCATAGGTCACAGATCAGGGACCTCAGGGCTCACATGTTCTGTCTTCCTGGCTTTCTTGACTATATTATCTGTCTGGCATCCCCCAGACTGATCCTTTCTTTGAAAAGTAAAAATAAAAAATATTATCTTTCTCTCTGACACATACACTTAATATACACAATCACACACAGAAACTAACTCAGAAAAGACTAGGGATCGATAAGCTATTTCTAGGGGATTAAATACTGCTTCATGTGGATGACCAACTAATGTATTTTTAAAAGTAAGGGTCATGTTTATACAGCAATATATAAAATTTGAAATGATCAATTATTTATACAGATACAGCCTACTATTGTCTTAATTTGCATACTTGTTAAATGTCCCAAAATTTTTTGCCTGTGCCATTGGCTACCAAGATTTAACTTTATTATAGAAGCAGAGATAATGTCTATTTCCATTGCTTTCAATAGCATGAGGGCAAGGCTTACTAGAAGATTTTTTTTTAATAAGGATGAGATTAAGTCAGGCCTATTGTCATGTTTAATCCCAGAGAGATTCAAAGGTGAGATTGATAATTTCTTGAGACAAATCCCTAAATTAATCAGCTATACAAGACATCACTGTCAATCAGTATCTAGCTATAATTGGTCCCCAGATTTTTCTTTGTACTGCCCATGGCCTCGTAGGACTAAAGGGAAATTAGATCAAGCAAAGACTGGTTAGCTCACAGGCACTTGGAACATTTTTTAGCTATTAGAAGTCACAATATCCCAATCCAAATCTAACTCAGAGAAAGACATTTCATCAAGTTCTTTGGGTTTCAATATTAGAGTTTTTCTCCAGTGTCCCTTCTAATCTTTGTCCTTCTATTACATCCACCAAACCAGGTAATGTCTATCCAATCCATGTCTTTTATCTGAAATCACACGTTATATATATTTAAAAAATCTTCTAGCACCAAATTTAGCCATTGTGCCTTTGAAGATTTTAAATATTATAAATCTACATAGATGAGTTTCTTTCAAGGAGCTAAATAGGTAAGCAATAGGTTCAATATTTTAAAAACAATTAGTGGGCACAATGGGGAAAATGAGACTAATCATTTATTACACGTTGAGGAGATAATGGTGCATCTTATTTATAAAGACAAACAAATGTTACTTTCCTCTTTGCTTAGTGTTGGTAGGAAAAAGGATTCAAAACTTGTAAATAAGCAAAAGGATGTTTGCATATCTTTTCAATGTCACACTAAAACATTGTTTAACAGAATCACAGAACCTACAGTTACTTTTTTAGAAGAATATATTACTGTTTGATTTTGTTATTTACTACTTATTAAGAGTTAAGACTGTAAAGTTATATGTGAATTTTGAGATTTTTTATCAGGTAAAAATAGAAATAGTTTCTGTTGCAGAAAAGTTAACCTTACAGTTTAACTGTAGGACACTAATCTTTTTTTTTTTACTCTAACCTAGTAATCTTTTTGATATTCCTTTATCAATTATCCTATAAATAATCTGGTTCCTAAATAGTCTTTGAACCATCTTAACTATCATTCAATTACCCTCATTAATTAGTGAGATGAATAAATTTTGGGCATATGTCTATTTTACGTTTGTATGAGGGTCAAAAGTGTACCTTCCGAAAATTATTTTTTGTTGTTCTATTCCAACTTTGCTTGAATTCTAAGCCTTTTATTACAATCATTTTTAGACTGTATGGCAAGTGCTTCTGCAAATGTAACTCACTAATTCTCCACAGATTGTGAAATTAAAAGGATTCTCCAAAGTGAGGAAAAGAAGGCCCCTTCGGTGAATCTACAATGTTTTTGCTCAGGCACTAATCTCATCTGATTTCCTGGGCTTCCTGACAGAGGAACCAACTACTAGAATAGAATGAAGATAATCAGCTGACATGGCCCTTGAAGGTTCAAACTGGACCACTATAAATGTGGTTTCCAGGCTGCCCCCAACCATCAACTTTCTGTTATGTTTCCATGTTGATGCTGTTTTGATTACTGTTATGTTAACATTTCTTGCCGAAGCAGGCCTTTTGATTTTACCTTCCGGCCCCTTCACTTCCACTATACAAATATCTTGCTATTGCTGCTGGCAAGTTAACTGGGGTGCCAAAGGAAAACTAAAATATCATAACACAGTTCTTATATTCTATTATATTTTGTAAATAAAAAGGATTCAATAGAAAACAAAACCATTCAAAGAAAGAAACAGCAGATGAGTACAGGTTTCTTCTGTGATAATGGTTTTAGAACTAAGCAGATGTATTTATTTTCTACTTTCAAGATCAAAAAATTTGAAAGAACATATCAAAGGACCAACATCATTATTACAGAAGTTCCCAGGGGTCAGAGAAAACAGACTGCAAACAGTACTGTGGGCACTGGATATGGCCACCGTGCAGACTTCAAAGAGCAAAGAGGGTCTGAAGGATGCTAAAGTGGTTCTGTTGGCAAGTTCTAAAAATGGTTTGCCAGCCAGCATTTTAAAGCTGGGATAAATTTTGCAAAACCCCAGGGTAATAATTGACATGGAATGGAAATAAATCCTTTTCTGATGTTACCTGTGTAGCCCAGCTTGTTTTTAATCTTTGCATCCTGAAATGGAGGCAGTTAATAGTGGGCATTTCCTGTTATTTTCTTTTCCAGGAAAAAATCCTATTGTTCTTATTTTAATTTCAGTGTGGTGCTATAGTATTTATCTTAATAGTTAGCTGGCTTAACAAAAGTGACTGAATAAAACATTTTGACTTACTAGGCTGATTAATTCCATAAAATTAACTGCATATTTGGTGAAGCAAGCAGTGGAGGTCTGGTAGGGAGATTGTAAGACACTCTTACGTCTTGTGTGTGTTTGTTTACTGAACTTATTGAATTACTTTGGTTCAGAGACCAAATACTTGAGCTGTATGTGAAAGTAAAATAACAAATTGAAATAGTTATATTTTGTTTTTAATCACGCCAATTATTCAATACTTTATAGACCAAAGACTTGATTAGACAAACATACTGTGTTTTTCCAGAATGCACTCAAATGACTTATGTGCTAGTGTGTATTTTTAAAACCCATACAATGAAATTCCTGAACATACTCAAGAAATCTGACTTTAGAATATGCCTACATCTCTCTGAGGGAACACAGCAGGAAATCCAGCATCTGCTACAGCAACAGGAGAAATCCCTTGGTTTCAAAACCGCCTCTGTCTTAATTTCTTGTCCTCCTTTTTGTTAGCTTATTTAACCTGCAATTTTATAATTAACGTACAATGTTTTCAGCTCACTAAAAATAATCTTATTCAACCTTTCTCCCCTCATGTGGATACAGAAGCCCTGGTGGATTTTCAACAGGTTAGAGAAATGTCTCTTTTTTTCTGAGCTTCTCCACTCGGCACAGAGTTTTACAAATTGAATGCCTCATCATAAAGCACAGAAGAGAAGAAGATATGACTACTGGTGTGGCATTTGGATCAAACGGTCTGGGTTTAATTCCTTGATCAAAAATAATAATAACAAAAGGACCCATTGAGGATGTTTTGTCTGGAATTCTAAGGAACCTTTTAAAATGTCAGGCCTGACAAAGAAAAAGCCATATATTTCCTTTAAAATTCAGAAGATTATATGCCGGAATAAAATTCACATTCTATCTTTAATGTGATTTTGCATATTTAATTCTTATTCATTAGGTGTTGATTTCTTGGTTAAATTTACACAGAGAAATCTTATTTTCCTAATTTAAAGGGTCTTATGGGAAGCATCTCAGCGGCTTTATCTACTGACATCGGTGCCATCTTCACATCTTTTCTTTTGAAATTTCTTTCCTTTCTTTTTTGCTTAGCAAGCCTTTCTCCATCTAGCAATTAGAAAATGCCTACCATATTAATCAGGATTCTTTCAGATATAAAAATCTAATTCAAACCTGCTTGAGCAAAAAGAAAAACGTAAAGGAAATGTATAAATTCTGATGGTATGCAGCCTGCTCTCCTCAACTCCTGTCATTTTTTATAAAAATATTCTCTTTTCCTTAGGTAAAGATGGATACCACGGATTGCAAATACCATTAGGAATTTGTCTCTCTTCATTCCTTCGCTCTACTTCCCTCCAGGCAGTCTCTACATGAGGTGGCCTGTGGTAATTTCAAACTTACCTCATCCCAGCCTAGTAACCACAATGGACACAAAGTGCTTCTTTCCCGAGAATTCTAACAAAAGTGTATAATCTAACGTTTATGGGGATAGTGTGGATGTCTTTTCATTTGCTTGTGTCCTCTTCAATTTATTTCATCAGTGGTTTATAGGTTTCGTTGTAGAGATCTTTTACTTCTTTGGTTAAGTTTATTCCTAGGTATCTTTTTTTGTTTTTGTAGCTGTTGTAAATGAGATTGCTTTCTTCATTTCTGTTTCAGCTAGTCTCAGTATGGGTGGATGGAAATGCTACTGTTTTTGTATATTAATTTTGTATTCTGCAACTTTATTGAATTCATTTATCAGCTTTAAGTGGTAGGCTGCTGGTGGAGTCTTTCAGTTTTTTATATATAAGATTATGTCATCTGCAAACAAAACCAATTTGACTTCCTCCTTTTCAATTTAAATGCTCTTTATTTCTTTCTATTGCCTAATGCCCTGGCTAGGACTTTTAACACTATGCTTCATGAAAGTTGGAAAAAGTGGGCATCATTGCCTTCTTTCAGCTCTTAGACAAAAAGGCTTTCAACTTTTCTTCATTCAGTATGATGTTAGCTTTAGGTTTGTCATATATGGTGTTTATTATGGTGAAATACATTCCTTCTAAACCTAATTCATTGAGATCTTTTCTTGAAGAGAAGTTAAGTTTTGTCAAGTGCTTTTTCTGCATCCATTGAGATGAGCATATGGATTTTGTTTTTAATTCTGTCAGATGTGATATCTATCATTTATAGATTTGCATATGTTCAACCATTCCTGCATTCCCAAGAAAAATCCCACTTGATCATAGTGTATACTGTTTTTGATGTACTGTTGGATTTGATTTGCTAGTATTTTGTTGAAATTTTGTACATCTATGTCAATCAGGGGTATTGGCCTGTAGTTTTATTTTGTTTATGTGTTCCTGTCTGATTTTGGTATCAGGCTAATGCAGGTCTCATGGAATGAGTTTGGACGAATTCTGTCTACTTTATTTTTTTTGGGATTATATTTTGAAAACTGTGTGTTAGTTCTTTTAAAGTTTTATAGAATTCAGCATTGAAGTCATCTATTCCTAGCCCTCCTTATTGGGGATACTTTCTGTTACTGATTCTATCTCATTACTCATTATTGATCTGTTCAGAGTCTCTATTTCTTTATGGTTCAGTCAGGATATGTTCTATGTGTCCAGGAACTTATCCATTTCCTCTAGGCTTTCCAGTATGTTAGTGTATACTTGTTCAAATTATTCTCTAACGATCCTTTGCACTTCTGTGGTATGGTTGTAATGTCTTATTGTTTTTCATTTTATATATTTGGGTCTTCTTTTCTTTTATCTTAGTCTAGCTAATGTTTTGTTGATTTGGTTTACCTTCTCAAAAAAACAAGTTTTTATTTTATTTAAAAAAAAGCTTTTAAATTTCTGTTTAAGTATCTATTTTATTTCTTTTCTGCTCTTATTGTTTCTATCTATTAATTTTAGGTTTGGTTTGTTCTTTCTTTATTAGTTCCTTGAGATGCATTGTTAGGTTATTTATTTAAAATCTTTCTACTTTTTTGATGTAGACATTTATTGTAGCTTCTCCCTTAGTACTGCTTTTGCTGTATTCCATGGGTTATGTATATTATGTTTCTATTTTTATTTGTTTAAGGAAACTTTTCAATTTCTTTCTTAATTTTTTCATTGACTCACTGGTTGATCAGGAGCATGTTGTTTAATTTGCATGTATTTGTATGGTTTCCAGAGTTCTTCTTGTTTGGAAAAGAAAAAAAAGAGCTGAAAAAAAAAAGTTGAGAGTTGAATGTTAAAATCCCCAGCTATTATGGCGTTGGAATTGATCTCTCTCTTTAGATCTAATAATATTTTATTCATATATCAATATGCTCTGATTTGGGGTGCCTATGTATTTACAATTGTTATATCCTCTTGCTGAATTGATCCCTTTATCATTACATAATGACTTCTTTTTTCTCTTTTGGTAGCTTTTGATTTAAAATCTTTTATTTGATATAAGTATAGGTACATCTGCTCACTCTTGGTTTCTGTTTGTGTATGTATTAGTTTGTTTTCATACTGCTTTAAAGAACTACCTGAGACTGTGTAATTTATAAAGAAAAAAGGTTTAATTGACTCACAGTTCTGCATAAATTGGGAGGCCTCAGGAAGCTTCCATCATGGCAGAAGGTGAAGGGGAAGCCAGGAATATCTTACATGGCAGTAGGAGAGAGAGAGAGAGGGCAAGTGCAGCAGATCTCATGAGAATTCACTTTCTGTCAGAACAGCATTGGGAAATTCACCCTCATGATCCAGTCATCTCTCACCAGGTTCCCCCCAACCCCCTGACATGTGGGGATGATAATATAACATGAGATTCATGTAGGAACAGAGAGCCAAACCATATCATTTCACCACTGGCCTCTCCCAAATCTCCTGTCATTCTTACATTGCAAATTACTATTCTCCCTTCTCAACAGTCCCCCAAAGTCTTAAGTCATTCCAGCATTAGTCCAAAAGTCAAGATTCAAAGTCTCATCTGAGACAAGGCAAGTCCCTTCCACCTGTGAGCCTGTAAAATAAAAAACAAGTTGGTTACTTCCAAGGTACAATAGGAGTACAGGCATTGGATAAATTCTTCCATTCCAAATGGAAGAAATTGGCCAAAACAAAGGGGCTACAGACCCTATGCAAGTCCAAGATGCAGCAGGGTAACCATTAAATCTTAAAGCTCCAAAATAATCTCCTTTGATTCTGTGTCTCACATCACATCTAGGGCATGCTCATCCAAGGGATGGGCTCCCAGGGACTTGGGCAGTTCCACTCCTGTGGCTCTGGAGGGTACAGCCCCTGCGGCTGCCTTCACAAGCTGGCTTTGAGTGCCTGTGGCTTTTCCAGGCACACAATGCAAGTTGTTGGTGGATCTACCATTCTGAGGCCTAGAGGATGGTGGCCCTTTTCTCACTGTTCTGCTAGGCAGTGCCCCAGTGGGGACTCTGTGTGAGGGCCCCAACCCCACATTTCTCCTCTGTACTGCCCAAGTAGAGGTTATCCACGAGGGCTCTGCCCCTGCAGCAGAATTTTGCCTGGTCATCCAGGCATTTCCATACATTCTTTGAAATCTAGGCAGAGGTTCCCAAATCTCAGTTCTTGTTTTCTGTGTATCCACAAACCCAACACCACGTGGAAGCTGTCAAGACTTGGAGCTTGCACTGTCTGAAGCAATGGTGCAAGTAATGGCCCAAAATGTACCTTGGCTGCTTTTATCCGCGGCTGGAGCTGGAGCAGCTGGGATGCAGAGTGTCATGTCCCAAGGCTGCACAGAGCAGCAGGGCCCTGGACCCAGCCCACAGAACCATTTTTCCCTCCTAGGCCTCCAGGCTTGTGATGGGAGAGGCTGCTGTGAAGATCTCTGAAATGTCCTGGAGACAGTTTCCCCAATGTTTTGGCGATTAACATTTGGTTCCTTGTTACTTATGCAAATTTCTGCATCTGGCTTGAATTTCTCCCCAGAAAGTGAGTTTTTCTTTTCTCCCACATGGTCAGGCTACACATTTTCCAAACTTTTATGCTCTGCTTCCCTTTTAGATATAAGTTCCAACTTCAGACCATCTCTGTCTTTGTGCATATGAGTGTACACTTTCAGTAATAGCCAGATTACCTCTTGAAAGCTTTGCTGCTTAGAATTTTTTTCCACCAGATACCTTAAATCATCTCTCTCAAGTTTAAAGTTCCACAGATCTGTAGGGCATGGTCAAAATGCCACCAATCTCTGTTCTAAAGCGTAGCAAGAGTGACCTTTTATACAGTTCCCAATAAGTTCCTCATCTTCATCTGAGACCACCTCAGCCTGGACCATATCACTATTAGCATTTGTGTCACTACCATTCAACAAGTCTCTAGGAAGTTTCAGACTTTTCCTTGTCTTCCTATATTTTTCTGAGTCCTCCAAACTGTTCAAACCTGTGCTTGTTACCCAGATCCAAAGTCTCTTCCACTTTTTCAGGCATCTTTATAGCAATGTCCTACTTCTCTTGGTACTAATTTTCTGTATTAGTTTGTTTTTGCACTGCTATAAAGAACTACCTGTGACTGGATAATTTACAAAGAAAGGATGTTTAATTGACTCACATTTCCACATGGTTGGGGAGGCCTCAGGAAACTCACAATCAGGGCGGAAGGGGAAGGGGAAGCAAGGCACATCTTACACGGTGGCGGGAGAGAGGGGAAGTGTCACATTTTTAAACCATCAGATCTCAAGAGAACTCATTCACTATCATGAGAACAGTGTGGTGAAATCAGGCCCCATGATCCAATTACCTCCCACCAGGTCCCTCCCCTGACATGTGGTGATTACAATTCAACATGAAATTTGAGTGGAGACACACAGCCAAACCTTATCAGTGTGGGATATCTTTTTCCATTTATTTACTTTCAGCCTATGTGTGCCTTTACAGATGAAATGAGTTTCTTATAGGTATCATATCATTGGGCCTTTTAATTTTTATTTTTTTTACTTATTTAGCTAGTCTATATCTTTTAATTGGGAAGTTTATTTGTTTACATTCAAAGTTATTTTTAAGAAGTGAAGCCTAACTCCTTTCATTTAGTAATTGGTTTGTGGTTGTTTTGAATGTTCTTTGTTCCCTTCTTTATTGTTGTCTTTGAAATTTGTTGGTTTTCTGTGGTGATAAAGTTTAATATCTTTCTTATGCCCATTAGTATATTTGATCTAAAAAAGTGATTTTTATCATTTCATGTGCTTCCATGATGGCAGTTATTGCCCTTTTTCTTTCCGATGCAGGACACCCTTAAATATTTCTTGTTAAGGACAGTCTAATGGTGATGAATTTCCTCAATTTTTCCTTATTAAGGAAAGATGTTATTTCTCCTTCATATCTGAAGGATAGTTTTACTGGGTACAGTATTCTTGGCTAGTAGGTTTTGTTTTGTTTCTTTTGTTTTGTTTTCAGCACTTATATCATCCCATTCTCTTCTTGCTTGTAAGATTTATGCTGAGAAATCTGCTTTTAGCCAAACAGGGATTACTTAACATGTGACTTGACACTTCTGCTGTCTTTAAACTTCTTTAACTATAATGTGCCTCAGAGGGGACCTTTGTGGGTTGAAACTATTTGGAAACTTTTGGGTTCCTGGGATCTAAATGTTCATGTTTTCAGAGATGAGATAAATTTTCAGTTACTATTTTATTAAATAAATTTTCTATGATTTTTCTTTATATATTCTTTTTCTGAAATTCCCATAATGTGAGTATGTGTTCACATTTTTGTCTCACAAGTCTCTTAAGTTTTCTTCTTTTTTTAATTTCTTTTTTTCTCTCACTAAGCTATTTCAAAAGACCTGTCTTAAAGTTTAGAAATTCTTTCTTCTGTTTAAACCTGTCTGTTTTTGGTGTTCTTGCTTTTATTTTTTATTTCAATCATTGAATTATTCAACTCCACATTTTCTGTTAGGTTCTTTTTGTTAGGTTCCATAATAGTTATCTCTTTGTTGAATTTCTCATTCTGATAGTGAATTGTATTTTTGATTTTGTTGAATTATCCATCTGATTTCTCTTGTATCTTACTAAACTTTCCTCATAATCATTATTTTGAATTATTTTTTCAGGCATTTCATAGATTTCCTTTTCTGTGGGTTCTGTTACTGGAAAATCATTGTGGTCCTTTACAGGTATCATGTTTCCTTGCTTTTTCATGTTTTTGTGTTCCTACATTGATATCTGCAAATCTGGTGGGATAGTAGCCAATTCCAATTTTATGGAGCAGCCTTCATAAGAAAAGACTTTCCTGTAGATATGCCCTATAGAATAAGTTGGGTAGGGCATTTTTGGCTTTGGTTCTATGTGAGTGTGGCACACAGCAGCTCCATTGGTCAAAAGAGCAAAGTTGCCTGTTGCAGCAGGTGCTGGGTCAGCCAGCCTTTGGTCCCAGGAAATGCGTGTGGTATTCAGGATCAGCAGTGGCAGTGTGGTTAGATAGCTGATCCTTGGGCCCTGGGGACACATGCCTTGCTTCACCCATTTGTGAGAGTAACCTCCCTGCTATGCTGGGCCACTCATTTTTTAGTGTGAATGGTGCTGAGTGGGCTCAGGTGCCAGGTTCATGATTGTACCTCTGAGTCTATTTGGGGTCATGGCACTGCAGCCTTTCATGTGGGTGTGGTGGGATGATAGTGGGACCTCAGAGATGTGGAGATACTCAGGGGCATTCGCTCCTAGTACAGAATACACTCCAGCAGTGACTGTTCTCAAATGGTACTGTGCTACAGCAGCTTGTGTACTTGGCAGTTGGGGGTACCCAGTGTGACTTCCTTCTCTTGAGCAATGCAGCTGCATGGACTGCAGGCAGCTTCTTATGCTGAGCTCCTGGTCTTTGAGGACTGCGGGTCTCTCCTGTAGCTACAATACCAGGCATCCACAGTGGCAAGGGGGACCACCAGCGATCTCATGCCTACCTTTTCCCTACAATGAGGAGTTCATCTTGTCTTTGAGCAAATCCCAGCTAGGTGCTTCACTCTCCTCTCTGTGCTGTCATCCTGAACTTCTATGCTTTAGAGGACTTTTGTCACTTCTCTCCTAAACTGCAGTGTTCTCTCCTAGACACCTTGCAGGAATTGTAGTTATAGACTTGTTTCCCTGGCCCTTCCTATCTCATGATTTTGACATTATTTTTCACACTAATTTTGAGTGGCATCAAAGTTAAAACCACTTCTATATTTGTGAAGATTCAATGAATATTTCTTTTTGATTTGAATTATAAAAATCTCTTTTCAACTCCAAGTAATGACTGACTGATTATAGACTCATCCTATAGAATGGCAATGACATGAAAATCCAAATATGCTCTCATCCTTTTATACCTTAAAACATTTAATTCTGATTATGTCAAGCATCTAAACATCTGTTTGCCAAATAGAGAGCACGAAAAGTGTTAAAAACATTTGATTGGACAAGTATTATACCTTTATATCAGTTCTCAAATTTCTTTAGCAATCCAGCCATATTTAGCACATCTGTGAGTGATTAATAATTACTGAAGTAGGTTTATGCTGATTTTCATAAAATTAGATTGATAAGACGATATTTGACTTTAAGGTTTTTAAAAACTTTGCATCACAATTTGGAATATGGTGTCTATTTTGTGTCTGTTTGGATGTGGAGTATTGATTGAGTTGCTGAGTGAAATTTCTCAATACTACGGTTGCAAACCTTTAGAAAGTTAATACAGCCCAGTATAATTCATTTCACTTTTAAGTGTTGATACATAATACAAGGGTTTATTATAACTATATACAACAACATTTAACACATTGTTTGTAACACACATGATACAATGTAGTATAACATACTGTATTATAAGTTGTTGTGTACTTTCGTATAGAGCAAGAACTATGCAATTCATTTCACTAGTTCACTGCTTAGCCTAGGGCTTTAATAACAAAGTATTTGATAAATGATTTTTGAAAACAAATCAATCAATACATGTACAGGAGTTCTACATTTTAATATATGAAGTTTCTAGTAATGAAATGAATATCAATGTTTTCAGCATATAAATTAATCCACATAATGATTTCTTTATAGTTGCATTATCTTTTATTATAAATAATCAAATCACAATTAAGTTAGTAACTGGCTAACGTTAATTTAAAAAAAATCGCCTAAAAGTTTAGGACTGTGATACATTTTTTAATGTTTTTATTGTTTTGTTTATATTGAAAGAAAAGATCATATGTATTTATTGAGTTCAATATGGTTTTTTTAAAATATATATACATTATGGAATAACTAATAGTTTATTTTAAAATTTCCATCCGTCTTTGAAGCCATTTAATCAACTAAGGTGTGTTTGTTGAATCTATCCGAGGGGAAACGTGTTTAAACTGATTTTTTTTTTCATTTTGGAATGATCTTGTCACCATGAATATTCTTATTATATTTGTGACTTGAATTTTACATGTTTCTATATTCATAATCATATTTTACTTTAACAATCTTATATAAATATAAAACTAATATTGTTTAATTACAAACACTTGAAAAATACAGAAAAGGAAAAAGGAAAAAGTAACCCATATTTCCATGAATGAAATGCCCCATTTATAAGTATGTTATAATGCAATTCGTATGTAAGTAGAGTTACATTTGTTTACATTTATACATTATAATAATGTACTTACTGTTTTATAGCCATTTTATGTTTTACATAACATTTACCAACCAGGCAATAAATATTTTAATAACATTATTTTTAACATCGTACATTATTTAACCATGATTTAATAAATTAATTCCTCATTGTTGAACATTTAGGTATTGCCATGTTGCTAGTATTATTAAATAATAATATCCTAAACCTTCTTATATCTGTTTTTGTTTTGTTTTGTTTTGTTTTGTTTTGTTTTGTTTTTTGAGACAGAGTCTCGCTCTGTCGCCCAGGCTGGAGTGCAGGGGCATGATCTCGGCTCACTGCAACCTCCGCCTCCCGGGTTCAAGCAATTCTCTGCCTCAGCCTCCAGAATAACTGGGATTACAGGCATGCACCACCACACCTGGCTAATTTTTGTATTTTTAGTAGAGACGGGGTTTCACCAACTTGGCCAGGCTGGTGTTGAACTCCTGACCTCGTGATCCACCCACCTCAGCCTCCCAAAATGCCGGGATTACAGGCATGAGCCACTGTGCCCGGCCTCTTCTATCTGTTTTTGCACACATATCTGCAATTTATTGGTAGACAAAAACATAAGTGAATTGTTGTTTCAAAGTATATGTACATATTTAAGCCACACTTCACCTAAAAGATTATTTCAGCTTCCATTGTCTTCTCCCAACTTAATTATAGAAGTATTTGTTTCATGGTATTTTTTAAAAATCACTATAAATTGAATGAGCAATTTGCCTTACCTCACAACATTTGTTTTACAACCACTTATAAATTGTAATGAACTCCTCTGATATAAGACAGTATCAATAGTATAAAGAAATAACTGCAATTATAATCATATTCAGTACTGACTGAGTGCTAACTAATGTCTGGCACACTCCTAAGACCAGCATGCTATAGCGTATTAACTCACTTAATTTTGCAACTCCTATGCGGTCAATACTATTAGTTTTCCCATTTTAAAAGTGAAGAAACAGTCACGAAGTTAAGTAATATGTTCGTGGTAAGAGAGATAGTGAGTGACAAAGCTAAGTACTCTGGCTCCAGAATCATATCATTAATCATTATGTTGCAGTCTCTAATATGGCAATTGAGATATGAATAGCCTGAATAATCTATTTTCTATTGATTGGCAATTGGCAACCCCTAGCGTATACTTCATGGAAACTATGTACAATTCTTTTAAAGTGCTTACAGACTTTAGATTAAAATGTTTTCAGGTGAAAGTAATAGCCATTGATCTGACCCTTACTTAGGGTTTCATTTATAAGATGTTTTATGTATACTGTTTTAAAATATGGAAAACTGGAATCTTTCCCCTTGTGGGATAATGTATCAAGTATAATATTTGAAGAAAGGAAAAATATGATCTGATGGATACCTCAGCAAAAGCATTGCTAGTCTTTCTATGAAAGCTAATCAAATATGTTCATAGCTGGTACAAAACAGAACCCTCTAGATGAATTTCATTTGAAATCTCTTGTTTCAAAAGACATGTTTACTTCTGAAAGGAAATTAACTACTACAAACTCTTATTAGCCTAAACTACAAAAGAGATTAAATTGCTCCATTCTTTCCTACAGCTGAGACCTTGATCTATTAATTTTCCTTACTCTTTTAGTCTACTTTTCCATATCTGCTTATCTCTTCCTTTAAATTAAACAATGGAACACCACGGACTTTGGAACCATGCAGAATGATGCCATCAGGTAAGAATAATATAAGGGGCCAGTGCAGTGGTTCACACCTGTAATCCCAGCATTTTAAGAGGCCCAGGAGAAAGGATTGCTTGAACTCAGGTGTTTGAACCAGGCTGAGCAAAATAGGGAGACCCCATCTCTACCAAAATAAAAAATTAACTGGGCATGATGGCATGTGATAGTAGTCCCAGCTACCAGAAGGCTAAGGTGGGAGGATCGCTTCAGCCTGGGAGGTTAAGGCTGCAGTGAGCTTAGATTACACCATTGCACTCCAGCCTGGGCAACAGAGTGAGATTCTGTCTCAAAAACAAAACAAAACAACACAAAAAGAAAAGAACAACAAAAGGAATAAGGATTTTAGTAACACTGTTGTACATGGATTATTTCATACTCAGTCTTTGAGGTAGATAGCTTTCTTATCGTCATTTTACAGGTGAAGAAATGAAGGCATAAGGACATCATATGAATTACCCCAGAATACACAGCTAGTAGGTAGAAGATCATAGACTTCAACCCAAGCCCTTTGACTCCATAGCACTTGCTTGTAATTCACTATTATCAGATTTTCTATAGCATTGAAGTAACAATCACTATCTAACAGAGTTTCTGTGAAATTATCTATCACAGTGGCTGGAACATGATGTACAATTAACAAATAATTGAGTTGTTGTTGATATTGCTATTGTCCCGTTAAAAATATACCTTATTATACATGTTAAATATTTAATACACACAAATAATATATTTATTATGAATAATCATAAAACAAACACCTACCCACTACCGATTTTAAGAAATAAAACATGACCACTGCCTGTAAAACACTACACAGGCCAGGTACAATGTCTCATGCCTATAATCTTAGCACTTTGGGAAGCCAAGGGAGGCAAATCGATTGAGGCCAAGAGATTAAGACCTCTCTAGCTATCAAAGTCCTAGGTGGCTCATATGGTCTTGTTGTGTCCCCAGCCAAATTTCATTTTGAATTGTAGCTCTCATAATACCCATGTGTTGTGGGAGAGACCCAGCGGGAGGTAACTGAATCATGGGGGCAGGTTTTTCTCATGCTTTTTGTGATAGTGAATAAATCTCATGATATCTAATGGCTTTTATAAAGGAGAGTTCCCCTGCACATGCTGTCTTGCCTGCCGCCACTGTGAGATGTAACTTTGTGCTTCCTTCACCTTCTGCCACAATTGTGAGGCCTCCCCAGCCATGTGGAACTGTGAGTCCATTAAACCTTCTTTCCTTTATAAATTACCCAGTCTTAGGTATTTCTTAAAGCAGTATGAAAAATGAACAGGACAGTGGGGTGTGGCTGTAAAGATACACAAAAATGTGGAAACGACTTCGGAACTGGGTAACAGTTAGAGGTTGGAACAATTTGGAGGGCTCAGAAAAAGATAGGAAAGTGTGAGAAAGTTCAAAACTTTGTAGAAACTTGTTGAATAGCCTTCACCAAAAGCTGAGAGTGATATGGACAATAAAGTTCAGGCTGAGGTGGTCTCAGATACAGATGAGGAACTTGTTGGGAACTGGAGTAAAGGTCACTCTTGCTATGCAAAGAGACTGGCAGCATTGTGCCCCTGCCCTAGAAGTCTGTGGAACTTTGAACCTGAGAGAGATGATTTAGGGTATCTGGTGGAAGAAAATTCTAAGTGGCAAATTGTTCAAGACCAAGCAGAGCTTAAAAGTTTAAAAAATTTGCAGGCTGATGCTGCAATAGAAAAGAAAACCCCATTTTCTGGGCAGAAATTCAAGCCTGCTGCAGAAATTTGCATAAGTAACAAGGAGCCAAATGTTAATCACCAAGACAATGGAGAAAATGTCTCCAGGGCATGTCAGAGGCCTTTGTGGCAGCCCCTCCCATCACAAGCCTGGAGGCCTAGGAGGGAAAAATGGTGTTGTGGGCTGGGCTCAGAGCACCCCTGCTTTGTGCAGTCTCGGGACTTGGTACCCTATTTTCTAGCTGTAGCTAAAAGGGACCAATGTGCAGCTCAGGCCATTGTTTCAGGGGGTGCAAGCCCAAAGCCTTGGAAGCCTCCACATGATGTTTTGCCCATGGGTGCACAGAAGTCAAGAACTGAGGTTTGGGAACCTCTGCCTAGATTTCAGAAGATGTATGGAAATGCCTGGATGTTCAGGCAGAGATGTGCTGCAGGGGTGAAGCCCTCTTGGAGAACCTCTGATAGGGCAGTGCAGAAGGGAAATATGGGGTGGGAGTCCCCACACAGAGTCCCCAATGGGGCACTGCCTCATGGAGCTGTGAAAAGAGAGCCACTGTCCTCCAGACCCCAGAATGGTAGATCCACCAGCAGCTTTCACCATGCACCTGGAAAAGCCACAAACACTCAATGCCAGCCCATGAAAGCAGCCATGAGGGGTGGCTGTATGCTGCAAAGCCACAGGGGTAGAGCTGCCCAAGACCATGGGAACCCAACTCTTGCATCAATGTGACCTGGATGTGAGACATGGAGTCAAAGGATATCATTTTGGAGCTTTAAGATTCGACTGCCCCACTGGATTTTGGACTTGCAGGGGTCCTACAGCCCATTTGTTTTGGCCAATTTTTCCCATTGGAATAGCTGTGTTTACCCAATGCCCGTACTTCCATTGTATCTAGGGAGTAACTAGCTTGCTTTTGATTTTACAGGCTCGTAGGCAGAAGGGGCTTGCTTTGTCTCAGATGAGACTTCAGACTATGGACTTTTGAGTTAATGCTGAAATGAATTAAGATTTTGAGGGACTGTTGGGAAGGCATGATTAGTTTTGAAATGTGAGGACATGAGATTTGGGAGGGGCCGGGGGCAGAATCATATGGTTTGGTTGTGTCCCCATCCAAATCTCATCTTGAATTGTAGCTCCCATAATTCCCACATGTCATGGGAGACATCTGGTGGGAAGTAATTGAATCACGGGAATGGGTCTTTCCCTTGCTGTTCTCATGATAGTGAATAAGTTTCATGAGATCTGATGGTTTTATAAAGGGGAGTTCGGCCGGGCGCGGTGGCTCACGCCTGTAATCCCAGCACTTTGGGAGGCCGAGGCGGGCGGATCACGAGGTCAGGAGATCGAGACCATCCCGGCTAAAACGGTGAAACCCCGTCTCTACTAAAAATACAAAAAAATTAGCCGGGCGTAGTGGCGGGCGCCTGTAGTCCCAGCTACTTGGGAGGCTGAGGCAGGAGAATGGCATGAACCCGGGAGGCGGAGCTTGCAGTGAGCCGAGATCCCGCCACTGCACTCCAGCCTGGGCGACAGAGCGAGACTCCGTCTCAAAAAAAAAAAAAAAAAAAAAAAAAAAAGGGGAGTTCCCCTGAACACACTCTCTTGCCTGACACCATGTAAAATGTGACTTTGTTCCTCCTTCACCTTCTGCCATAATTGTGAGACCTCACCAGCCATGTGGAATTGTGAGTCAGTTAAACCTTTTTCCTTTATAAATTACCCAGTCTTGAACATGTCTTTATTAGCAGCGTGAGAACAGTCTAATACAGTTGGTGTCATGCATGGAGCTCATCTGTGATCCCCTGGACACTGCAAAGGAAATAAGACTCATTCCAGATTCCGAGTATTAGTGGAAAGTAGCTCCTAAGACACTAATAGATTTTTTTTTCCTCTAAATTCTCAGCAATTGTCTGCCATGGATGACACTTGAAGTTTAAATGTTTCACAGTCTGATGCCAAGTAGAGCTGGTAAAGAAAGCAGGGCATATTCCTGTTTCTATGCCTTCAGTTTCTACTTCCCCCTTCCCTTCTCTTGTAAATGTGGTCTTTAGTTTTAACACTTTACCAAATTTTCCCCATTATCTTAGTTCTTCAGCCCATTTTCCTTTGTTTTTTCAAACATTGTCATGCATTGCATAACATTGTTTCTGTCAACAATGGGTAATATTATAACAGTGGTCCCATAATATTATAAAATCATATTTTTATTGTACCTTTTCTATGTTTGGATATGTTTAAATGCATAAGTAGTTACCATTGTGTTCCAGTTGCCTGCAGTACTCAGTACAGTAACATGCTGTGCAGGCTTGTAGTCTAGGAGCACAAGGCTATATCATTTAGCCTAGATGTGTGGTAGGCTATACCAACTAGGTTTGTGTATGTAATCTCTATGTTGTTTCACAAAGATGACATCACCTAATGATCCATTTCTCAGAATATATCCCCATCATTAAGTGACTCATGTGTATATTTGAAAATACCAACCAGTATTTCTAAATCTCTCATTTTCTTTTTTTCTTAAAATGAGTATCTCCTGGTTCTCCTATTATTATTCTGTATCTTACTTGTTTATCTCATTTGCTGGTTGCCATTCTACTTCCTTTTTCCTAAATATAATTTCAAATGATTTGCCTTCATATTATTTTTTCATAATTTCCACGTGACCTTCTGTTGACTAACCCATTCCTATAATTCTGAACTATTGTCTAACCTCTCTTTTGAATTCTTGTTCCTCACTTCCAACTTGTTATAGGTAGCCTTACACACATATCCCACATCTATTCTTAGTATAATCTATAACTGATCTAATTAGCTTCTGCCCCAAAATTGGCCATTCTCACATTTCTTGTTAATAATTAAATGCATCGACATTATGCCCAACACCCAAACACAAAACCTTACTGCTGCAGTTCTCAACCTCTCAGATAAATCTTTCCTGGTGAGCGCATTTTTAACATTTGTAAGGCCTGTTGAGTTGGGATTGTCATAACAACTGAGGTTTGCTAGTACCACTAAGTACACAGAGGGTAAGAATGCTACACATCTTGCAGATCAAGCTGCCCATGCACCAACGAATTGTTCTACATTTTGAATGAATTTAAAATGTCCTACTAGACATTTAGATAGGTGAAAAAGAAAAACCTATTTTAGAAATTTCCTCAGCATAGAATCTAACTGTTTTACATAAAACATAAAGAATTTTTGGCAAAGTTTTAATATATATTGAATTTCCAGAAATTCATACACTATGTAAATTGTCCTTTTTCCTCAAACATTGCCAGGAGTTTTTCACCATTATAGAAAAGTATATCATTGTTGGCAACACAGCTCATGGTGTTTGAGTCAGCAAGTACCCAAGCAGGCCATAAGTTTGCATTTGCAGCTGTTGCAATTTTTAGTGATTATTCATGTGGATGCAAAGATCTGAAGAATCACTTTTTCATTTATTTACTCATTCAAAACTTATTGACTTTATTATTTCCTCACAGGTTACTTATGTTGAGGATTTATATACCTTAGTATTTGTTATAAATTATTTTTCTTTAATTTCTCTTTTATATGTCACATTTTAAAAATTTAATCACTTTGTTTTGGGTATATAAAAATTACCTTGCAGGGTAAACAAAGGGAAGTTATTAGTAATATTTTTATATAAAGGGAGTTTAGTGGTCTCATAGAATTGAGAACTATTAACTTAGAGTCCTTTGTAAATTTTCCCTCTCTTCTCTACTATCAGAAAAATATTCCCAAATTCTATAAATGTAGGTTTCATTAATATTCTATTTTTAATAATTTTAACTTTTATTTTAGATTCAGGGAGTACACGTGCAGGTTTGTTACATGCTGTGATGCTAAGGTTGAGTTGTAATTGTCCCATCAGCTACATAGTGAGCATAGTGCCCCAAAAGTCTTTCAATCCTTGCCTCCTCATTACTATTCTTACCTGTTTTTTCACACATTACTATCCTTAATTTCAGTTTACATGCTCTTCATCTAAATGCTCAAAGCCTTCCTAATTAACTTTGTTTCTTTGAAAGTTTAGGTTATATAGGTTTTTAAAATATAGGCTTTGGAATCAGACTGACATAGATTTATATTTTATCTTGTCACTTATTATAGCTTAATTGTTTTTATATTTAAGAAGAAATTGTTCATATCCTTTGCCCACTTTCTGATGGGGTTGTTTGTTTTTTTCTTGTAAATTTGTTCAAGTTTTTAATGTATTCTGGATATTAACCCTTTGTCAGATAGATTGCAAAAATTTCTCCCATTCTGTAGGCTGCCTGTTCACTCTGATGATAATTTATTTTGCTGTGCAAAAGCTCACTAGTTTAATTAGATCCCATTTGTCAATTTTGGCTTTTGTTGCTACTGCTTTTGGTGTTTTAGTCATGAAGCCTTTGCCCATGCCTATGTCCTGAATGGTATTGCCTAGGTTTTCTTCAAGGGTTTTTATGGTTTTAGGTCTTAGGTTTAAGTCTTTAATCCATCTTGAGTTAATTGTTGTATAAGGTGTAAGGAAGGGGTCCATTTCCAGTTTTCTGCATGTGGCTAGTGAGTTTTCCCAACACCATTTATTAAATAGGGAATCCTTTCCCCATTGCTGTTTTTGTCAGGTTTGTCAAAGATTAGATGGTTGTAGATGTGTGGCGTTATTTCTGAGGGCTCTGTTCTGTTCCATTGGTCTATATGTCTGTTTTGGTACTAGTACCATGCTGTTTTGGTTACTGCAGCCTTGTAGTATAGTTTGAAGTCAGGTAATGTGATACCTCCAGTTTTGTTTTTTTTTTTTTGCTTAGGATTGTCTTGGCTATACGGGCTCTTTTTTGGTTTTATATGAAATTAAAAGCTCATCATCACTGGTCATTAGAGAAATGCAAATCAAAAACACAATGAGACACCATCTCATGCCAGTTAGAATGGCTATCTTTAACAAGTCAGGAAACAACAGAAACTGGAGATGATATGGAGAAATAGGAACGTTTTTACGCTGTTAGTGTAAATTAGTTCAACCATTGTGGAAGATGATGTGGCAATTCCTCAATGATAAAGAACTAGAAATACCATTTGACCCAGCAATCCCATTACTGTGTATATACTCAGAGGATTATAATTCATTCTACAATAAACACATTCACACGTATGTTTATTGCAGCAATGTTCACAATAGCAAAGACTTGGAACCAACCCAATTCCTCATCAATGATAGACTGGATAAAGAAAATGTGGCATATATACACGGTAGAATACTATGCAGCCATAAAAAATGAGGAGTTCATGTCCTTTGCAGGAACATGGTTGAAGCTGGAAACTGTCATTCTCAGCAAACTAACACAGGAACAGAAAACCAAACACCACATGTTCTCACTCATAAGTGGGAGTTGAACAATGAGAAAGCATGGACACAGGGAGGGGAACATCAAACACTGGGGCCTGCCAGGGTGTTGGGGGCTAGGGGAGGGATAACATTACGAGAAATACCTAATGTAGATGATGGGTTGATGGGTGAGCAAACCACCATGGCAGGTATATACCTATGTAACAAACCTGCACATTCTGCACATGTATCCCAGAACTTAAAGTATAATAATAATAAGAAAGAAGAAACAATATTTCTTATCTATCAATAACAATGTTGTTGGAAACAAATAGGCTATGTGATATGCCTAATGTATAAAAGTAAATATTCATTTAATGTTAGATGTCTCTTTCAGATCCCTGTTATATATAAGGTAATCATAACATTCTAGATTTTCTAAAAGAATCTTGATTGTACTGTTATATACAGTTGCCAAACCATGTGACATGATGTTAGGCTTAGAAAATAAGGTGAACATAATTACAATGTATCTTTTGGTGTATGCAGTGAAGTCTCAAGTGTGTATGTATCCACAGCACAAATAATTGAGAACTCCTTTAGTAACAGGCATTACATGACCTCAGGAGATAAATTTTCATTACTTCTCCAATAATCTTGCAGCTAAATTTGATGCCGGGCATGAGCCAAATTTTCTTCTCCCTTGCAAACTGCCATTTCTACTGAATGTCAGGAGCTTACTTATTTTCAGCTTACATTTTTTTATAAACTGTATTTCCATTCAATTTCTGCTCACCTGAAATAAAAATATGAAGTACTTACCAGAAAGCAGAACTTTTTCTGCCTTGCTATAAATGAAACATTCTTGAAAATTAATGTGGTACCCTAAGTTAACAGCAGTAATTGGAATGCCTGCGTGAATGCTACCTAAAGGAACTGGAAACGTAAGTCTTTTATTATTATCATTATTATTATTATTTGTAAGGCCCATTTCAGAAGATTGTTTATTTCCTCTAGTTTGGACTTTCTTATTTTAAATATTCATTTGTAAGATAAGTTGTCAGAAAGCTAGTTTGAATCTGCAACACTGGCCAGTTTCCTTAGATGACTTTCTTAAACTTTCATGGATTAGTTCATTTATGTCAGGAATATTCCCAAAAGGAGATCAGAGACAACTGTAGAAAAGAAGGAATGAGTCAAGTCTGGTACATTAGGGACAGTAAAAAAACCTCGCCTTTAACTGATTTTAAACGGCTTGGTATACCCACAGAAATACAGAGCGGGAGCTCAGAGTATCTTGAGTCAGCAAGGAAAATGTGTCACGTTGTTGGTGAGACAAGATTTGTAGGCAGAGAGGAGAACATCATTCCAAAGAGGCAGACTACAAACAGTTCTGAAAAATAAATACAAAAGTATTGGGAGGATTACAGAGTAAGAAAATATGAAGAGGATTAGGGAACAGGGAGATGTAAAATTGATCACATTAGATTGAAAGAGATTTTGAAAGATTTTGAAAAGAGAAGAAAGGAGGAAGCTTGAATTTAATACAAAATGTAGGTATCAAATTGTATATGTGTTGATAAAAACATTGTCAGACAAAACATACAGTCAAAATCCAGGATGAATATGCTTAATATAAGAAAACTAGATGGCTCCTTTAGTTAAATCAAACAAAACCTAGAGTTTCATGTATGACTTTACATTCACAGCATCTATTTTTTAAAACATAAGTCCATTGTCAGGTGTCCAGCAATTAAATCAATAGCTTTCTTTTACTGTTAATGACAAAAATTAATCAAATTTGAAATCATCTAGATTTTCTAATTAGCTAACATTTTAGAAGCTAGAAGATTCTGGCTATACTGTTAACCCAGACTTTCTGAGAATTAATTTAAAATGTCAACGTTTAGGGACATAAAATACAAATGATCATTGGAAATTCTGCTTCCAGCCACCATAGGAAGTTATAGAATAAGTGGACTGAAATTGCCATCCTGCTTTAAACAGCTGTAACACTACACAAAATATACAAGGCAACTGATTTCGGCATTGGAAAACCTGCAGTGCAGGACCGGATACTTGAGAGAAGTTAACACAAGGGGTGGCGAACTCCCTGTTCAACCCTTTCCATTTAGATGGAGGCATTCCCCTGACCATGGCAACAGAAGGTGGACACCCAGTAGAGTACAGTGAGAAGCAGAGACTGGAGCTCAAAGCTGCTGAAACACTTGTAATTTCCAGGGCAGAGAACCAGACAAAGGGTAGCTGTGGAAGAAACTATCAGAAGTCAGGAGAGGGTGCCATGAAATTTATTGCCAAGGACAGTACCGCACATCACAGGGCAAGATTCTGCAATACCTTGCAGAAAGCAAGTGTTGTGGGTCTGAGAGTGGAATGATATGCCAATAGACACACAGTGCTGAGAGGCATTGGGGTTCTAATCTAGCTGTGGGGTAGAGACCTCACTGAATGAAGAATCTCTGACATTCAGTAAGTAAGAAAGAGTAAGGACCAAAATAACAGCCTAGAGTAAAAGCCATATCCTAGAACTGAAGTAAAACACTAAAATAGATTATTTTTCCAGTAAAGAATAAACTCAAAGTTGATGAGATCAAAAGTATTTGCTAGTAACTTAATTACCTGCCAGAACAAAATTCAGTGTCAATTAAAAGAAGACATCATAATCTAGACTCTCTACAACACATGATTCACCAAGTCATCCAGAAGAATTCCACATGTAGTGAAAATAAGGGCATTTTCAGGTAAACAAAAGCTAAAGGACTTCACTTTTAGTAAACCAACACTACAATAAATGCTAAAGAATTTTTAAGGCTAAAGGACATTATACTAGATAAAAACATGGATTTATAAATAATGTATTAGTTTGCTATAGGTATTATGGCAAAGGACCACACACTGGATGATTTAAACAACAAAAATATATTGTCTCACCATTCTGGAGGCTAGGAATCAGAGTTCCAGGTGTTGGCAGGGCTGGTTCCTTCTAATTCTGGAGGCTGTGAAGGAAAATATGTTCCATGCCTCTTTCATAGTTTCTGGGGTTTTACTGGCAATCTTTAGTATTTCTGGGGTTGTTGAAGCGTCACCTGATGCCTGCCTTTATCTCCATGTGTCATTTTCCCTGTGGGTGTCTCCGTGTCCAAATTTCCTCTTTATATAGGACATTAGTCATATTGGATTAGGGCCCATTCTGTTTACCTCATCTTAATTAATTAAATTCACAAAGACTATTTCAAGTAATGTTAAATTTTGAGGTTCTGGGAATTAGAACTTCAACGTATAAATTTAAAGGGGACATACTGTAACCCTTAATAAACAAGGATAAGGAATACTAGAAGGTATAAATAGCTGGATAAATATAATAGACTAGTGTGCATTTTTTCCTTTACTTTTTTAAGAGATAATTGATGGTTTAAATTAAAAAATAATAGCATTGTCTCATAAACTTTATAATGTTTATAGAAGTAAAATATATGACAATATAACAGTGAAAGGAGAGGAAAAATGGAGTTATTTAATTGTAAGGTGTATTTTTGTTCAAATTTAATGTGAAATACACAATGCTAACTCTAGGAAGACTTCGTAAGTCACAGAAGCATATTGGAATACAAAAGTAGACATTAAAATGAAAAAACCCACTAGAATAATAACAATGGAATACTCAAAAATATTTATCTAATTGAACAGAAAACAAAAAAGAAGAAATGAAAATGGGGACAGACCCATATAGAACAAAAATTATACAACTATCAAGATTTTTTAATTAAATTAAAACAATATAAAGATTACATGAAATATAGCTGAATTAGGCACTCTAATTAAAAGCCGGAGATTCTCAAGCTGAACAGAAATGTATATCCCAACTACATACTGTCTACAAGAGATGTACTTCAAACATAAAGTCAATTCTTTATGACTTTTTAGATAAGTAAATATATAGAAAATATATATCATGCAGATAGTAACTTTAAAAAGGTAAGTATGGCTATATTAATATTAGACAAATTATACCTCAAGACAAGTAGTATCAGAGATGAACATTGCTTCAAAATGACAAAAGCGTCAATTCATCAGGAGGTCAGAGTGATTACATATGTGTCAGTGTACGTCAGTGTGTACACATATACACACACATGTGTGTACTACATATGTGTGTCTATATGTGTGTATATATTGTATATAATTACATGTATTATATATGTGTCAGACTTCAAAATACAGGAGGCAAAAATGGCAGAAATAGATAAATAAAACAAATATATAATCATAGTTGGAGATTTTAACACTGCACAGTCAGCAATTGATAGAACAACTAGATTACAATCAACCAACTCAATCCAACTGATGTAGAATACTGTACCCAAGAACTACAAAAACCACAGTCTTTTCTGAAGTGTACATGGAACATTTACCAAGGTAGACCACTTACTGGGTCACAAAATACTTCTCATTAGTTGCAAAACATTGATTCTTCTAGAGTATGTCCTTTGATCACAAGAGAATAAAATTAAATTGGTAATCAATAAATTAAGATAGCTGATATATCTAGAAAATATCCAGTTATTTGAAAAGTAAACAAGATACTTCTACATGAGCCAAGGCTCAATAAAGAAATGACAAGGGGAATTAGAATTTATAATAAGCAACTATAATGAAAAAGCAACATAGTAAACATTGTGAGAAACAGCTAAAGCAGTGCTTAAAGGGAAATTTATAGTTCTAATTTCTCATGTTAGAAAAGAAGTAAAATTTAAATTCAATGTTTTAATTTTTTAGCATGAGAGGGTAGGAAAGCAAGGAAAATTTAAGTCAAGTAGAAGCATGAAAAATAGGACTAAGAATAGAAATCAATAAAATGGAAAACATATAATAGAGGAAAATAGCAAAGGCAAAGTTGTTCCATTGATAAAATCAATACAATTTTTAATACTGTAGATAAAATGATAAGGAGCAAAAGGGAAGAAACTATAAATTACCAATATCTAGAATAAAATATGAGATAAATCTATAGATCTTACTATATACTAAAATGATCAAAAGCAAATATTATGGACAATATAAAGCTAATAAATTTGATGACTTGGATGAACTGAACAAATTCCTTGAACTACATGACTCAAAAAACTGAAAAAAGATGATAAACTAGAAAATATAAATAACAATTATATGTTAAAAGAATTCATTATCAAAATCCTCCCAAAGTAACACTCAGGCCCACAAGATGTTCTTGTGAATTCTATGAAACACTGAAGGATGAAAACAATAATCATCTTCACAAATTATTTTAGAAAGTAGAGTACCCAAGAACACTTCCCAATTTATTTTATAAGGTCAGCATGTCTCCAATACCAAGACCTAAACTATTAGAAATAAATTGAACAAAAACAATGTAGGACTTCTACATTTAAACCACAACACTTTGCTGAGGTAAATTACAGAAGGTTTAATTGAGTAGTGATATATCATATTCAATGATTGGAAGATACATTGTTAAAATATGAACAGACCAATTGAACAGAATTTGTAGTTCAGAAATAGATTTTAATCAAATGCACCAAGGTAACTGAACAGGGAAAAGAAAGTCTTTTCACAGATTGTGCATCTCAATAAATGAGTAGACAAAAATAAACCTTGACCTCCTAACTCACATAATATCCAAACTTTAATTTAATTAATTATTTTTTTAGAGAAGGAATCTTGCTTTGTTGCCCAGGCTGGAGTGCAGTGGCACAACCTTGGCTCACTTCAGCCTCAACCTGCTGGGCACAAGTGATCCTTCCACCTCAGCCTTCTGAGTAGCTGGGACTACAGGTGCATGCCACCATGCTTGGCTAATTTTTGTATTTTTTGTAGTGAGAGTCTCACCGTATTATGTTGCCCAGGCTGGTCTCAGACTCCTAGGCTTAAGTAATCCTCCTGCACTGGCTCCCAAAGTGCTGAGATTACAGGTATGAGCCACTGTGCCCAGCCCAAAATTTAATTTATTTTTGACAGATTATAGAATTAAATGTAAAAGGTGAATGTATTCTGCTTATAAGAGAAAACACAGAAGAATATCTTTGTGACCTTAGGGTAAGTACCAACTTTTAGACAGGATACAGAAATTACTAACATAAGAAAGATAATAATTCATACATCATCAGTATTAAAAACTGCTCATGAAAAGACAAGTAAAATCAGGAGCTGCAGATGGAATAATATTTTGCAATACACATATATGACTAAAGACTTGCATCTAGTATTAAAAACTTTTGAAGATAAGTAGTAAAAAGGAAGCAACACTGTAAGTCTTAAACATTTCACAAAAAGAGATGTAGAAATACTCAACTCATTTAGTCATAAAGAAAATGAAAATTTAAATCACAATGCAATACCAATTTACACTAGAGAGGATAAAATTAAAAAAATGGCAATGTGGCAATGTTAAATGTTGATGAGCAAGTGAAGCAAATGGAAATCTTATACTTTGTTGTCTATTAGGAAGAAAGTGTAAAATAATATAATCACTTTGGAAAACTCTCTGGCAGTTTTTTTTTTTTGTTTTTTTTTTTTGAGACAGTGTCTCGCTCTGTTGGCCAGGCTGGAGTGCAATGGCGTGATCTCAGCTCACTGCAACCTCCATCTCCTGGGCTCAAGCAATTCTCCTCCCTCAGCCTCCCAAGTAGCTGGGATCACAGGCATGGGCCACCACGCCTGGCAAATTTTTTGTATTTTTAGTAGAGACAGGGTTTCACCATGTTGGCCAGGTTGGTCTCGAACTCCTGACCTCAGATAATCCACCCGCCTCGGCCTCCCAAAGTGCTGGGATTACAAATGTGAGCCACCGTGCCCAGTGGCAGTTTATTAAAATGTTAAGACAACCTACATTATGTTTCAGTAATATCCTTACGTATTTACCCAGTGAAAATGAAAACTTCCATATACTCCTAGGTGTTTCCCCAAGAGAAAGGAAAACATATCCACAAAAGAGAAAGTTTACATGAATGTTTATATGTTTAAACATATATATTTATCCATAATATGAGAATGTTTATAGCAGTGTTACTTATAATGATAAAAAACTGGAAACAAAGCAAATGTCTGTTAATGAGATAATGAATAAACATACTCAGAAATTCAGCAATAGGAAAACAACTGAACTACCAATAGACACAGCAAAATGGACGAATCTCAAAAATATTATGTTGAACAGAAGAAGCCAGGCACCATGGAGTACGTATCATAGGATTATGCTATATGAAGTACAAGAATAGTATAAAATTAATGTATGTTGATAGAAATGAGAACCTATGGCTGGGGTCTGGATGAAGTGAGTGGTTGGAAGAAAGCACAAGGGAATTTTCTGAGATAATAATGAAATTTTATATGTTGATTTGAGTGTGTGTTACAAAATTTTGCTAAAATATATCAAATCGTACCCTTACAATTTTTACATTTACCATATGTACATTTTAACTCAAAATATTGAGCATGATAAACCATCTCAAAAACTATTGTTAAAGTTCAAGTGCTCATTTTTCAAATATCTATAGAATCCCTCTGCCTTACCTAATGAAAAATCAACTATCTTCAACCTCCTCCTCTCTATTCTTATAAACCAGCTCTTCTTGTTTTTCATATCATTTCCGACAATGGCAACATTCTTCTCCCAGTCAGTAAGAGCTTGGAACATTCGATTTATCTTCTCTAAATCTCTTTCTTTCAAGCCTGTTGTGGCCAAATCCAGCCTCCTTTTCAGAGTTACTTTTTATCTCATATTAACATTTTAATTTAGACCAAAGGTGAGTATGCTTTTTCTGCAAAGGATCAAATAGTAAATACTTTAGGCTTTTCAAGCCATACTATTCCTGTTGCAAAGACTCAACTCTGCCTCTGTAGCACAAAAGACATCTGATATAGACAATCTACAAACAAGTGAGCATGGCTGTGTTCCATTAAACTTTATTTACCAAAACTGGTTGTAGGCTGGATTTGGCCAGTAGACCAAAGTTTCCCGACACTTGATTTAGACTCTCATTGAGGTTAAAAATTTTGAAAAATATTTTGACCTTTAGTTACTTCAGTAAACCCAAGCTGCCACTAGTGCCATTAAAATTTATTTTCCAAACATCATCCAAAGTAATGGTCAAAAACATAAACCAGATCATATTATTCTGTGGCTCGAAATCTTCCAGTGACTTCCCATTGGTCATAAAATAAGACACTTAATATTTAGTATGATATTTAAAGGACTTCCTATCCTGGCCCTTGCCTACCACTTTAAGCTCATCTTCTATCACTCTATGCTTTCTTCCCTATGATTTGCCCACATTGTCTTTGTGAATCAATAATTCACACTAAGCTTCTCTTTAAGGGGACATTTTATTTCCTGCCCTTCTGCCTGGATTACTTTTTCTCTAATCATCACAAGCCACTTCTTTTTATCATTCACGACTTGGCAGAAATGCCACTTCCTCAAAGTATCATTCTAATATAACCCTCCAAGCCTCTGTCACTATTACGTTATCCTATTTTACTTTTTTTTTTTCTTGAGACGGAGTTTCGCTCTTGTTGCCCAGGCTGGAGTGCAGTGGCGTGATCTCGGCTCACTGCAACCTCTGCCTCCTGGGTTCAAGCGATTCTCCTGCCTCAGCCTCCCCAGTAGCTGAGATTACAGGCATATGCCACCACGCCTGGCTAATTCTGCATTTTTACTAGAAATGGGGTTTCTCCATGTTGGTCAGTCTGCTCTCGAATTCCTGACCTAAGATAATCCACCGCCTCGGCTTCCCAAAGAGCTGAGATTACAGGCATGAGCCACTGTACCTGGCCCCTATTTTACTTTTTATAGCATAAGTCTCTAGTGTTATTTCACTTATTTATTTTTTGTTTATTTCTGCTGTGTGTCCTATACTACACATTCCATATAAAACAGCAACTTTGTTTTATATTCATTACTGTCTCAAATAATACCTGGCCATAGTAAGCACTCAATAAACATTTGTTGCATGCAAGCATGCATGCATGAATCCAGAATCATGTGCACAACTAGGAGGTCCATTTTCATACACACCAGTCAATCTGGACTATCAGGTCTTCCCTAAAAGTCCCATCTTTTTCTTGTTATTCACTCATTTTACACACACACACACGCACTTGCCCACATGCATACACACACACACACACACACACACACACACACACACACCTATTCCTAGAAACCTTACCTATGCTTTTAGGCTCTTCTAAAATGTAATCTACTCTACGAAGCATTTTTAATTCACTAACTAAATGCAATCTCCTCCTCACTTTAAATCAACATTAGAATTATACTAGTTGTAGGACATTTATCTTACATAGATATTCATTTAAATTAATCTGGACATTTGCTTTTCTCTTCTAAGCTACAGTCATATGTCACTTAACAACAGGGATACATCTGAAAAATGCATTGTTAGGTGATTTCCTCCTTGTGTGAACATCATAGTGTATACTTACACAAACCTAGATGGTACCCTACGACCCACCTGGGCTATATGATATAGCCTATTGCTCCTAGACTGTAAACCTGTATGGAATGTTACTGTAGTGAATACTGTAGGCAACTATAACCGAATGGTTGCTATCCATGAATACAAATATAGAAAAGACAGTAAAATACAGTATAAAAGGTAAAAAAAATATATACTTATATAGGGCACTGACCATGAATGGAGCTAGCAGGACTGAAAATTACTCTGGATGAGTTGGTGAGTGAGTGTTGAGTGAATGTGAAAATCCAGGGCTTTTCTGTTCACTACTATAGACTTTATAAACACTTTCCTCTTACAGTACAGTAAATTTATATTTTAAAAATTCTCTTACTTCAGCAATAAATTAACCTCAGCTTACTGTAACTTTTTGCTTTATAAACTTTTAATTGTTAAAATAGTTTTGACTCTTTTGTATGAACACAGCTTAAAACACAAACATATTGTACAGCTGTACAAAAACATGTATATCATTCTATAAACTTTTTCTATTTTTTAATTTCTTTTTCTTACTTTTTAAAACTTTGTTAAAAACTAAAACACACACACATTAGCCTAGGCCATCAATAACACTGTCTTTCACCTCCACATCTGGTCCCACTGGAAGATGTTCAGTGGCAATAACACACATGGAGCTGTCATCTCCTAATAGCAATACCTTCTTGTGGAATACCTCATGAAGGAGCTACCTGAGGCTATGACTACCTTTTTTTGTTTTGTTTTTACAAGTAGAAGGAGTACACTCTAAAGTGATGCAAGTATAGTATAGCAAAGGCATAAACCAGTAACATATTTATTATCATTATGAAGTGTTGATGCAGGCAGGTGAGCCCCCAAATTGGGGCTTACCCCAGGAGGGTTCTTGGCTTCACCTAGGAAAGAATTCAAGGGAGAGATGGTAGTGCTCAACAGCAACTTTTATTTAAGCAGCAGTATACAGCAGCAGTAGACATACTGCTCCTTGTGAAGCAGGGCTACCCCATGGGTAGTGTGCCCAGGGTAGCAGCTCAAAAGCCATTTTGCAGTCATATTTATACCTACTTTTAATTATATACAAATTAAGAGGCAATTTATGCAAAAATTCCTAGGATACAGGTAGTAACTTTTGGGTTGTCAGAGCATTGCCATGGAAAGGGGTGTTAGCTTCTGGGTGTTGCCATGGCAATGGTAAATGGACATGGCACACTGGTGGGCATGTCTTATGGAAAGCTGCTTCCATCCCTGCACTGTTTAGCTAGTCCTCAATTTGGTCCACTGTCCAAGCCCCACATCTAGAGTCAAGTCCCACCTTCTACCTCAGTATTACGTGCATAATCTATATGCTGAATTTCTATAGGACTGAAAGAACAGCAGGTTTGTTTACACCAGAATCACCACAAATGTGAGCAATGCTATGGCATTACACCTACCATGTCATTAGACAATAGGAATTTTTCCCCTCCATTATAATTTTATGGGACCACTGTCATGTATACGGTCCATTGTTGACTGAAATGTCAGTATGTAGTTCATGACTGTGTAAATCTTTGAAGGTGAAAATTAGTTTTAATTTATCTTTATATGGTTTCCAGTACTTAGGTACATTTCACTAAGCTCTTTCTGAATTTTGTTGACTTTGAATAACAAGGACTCAAATTATATATTAATTTCATTTTAATGTACAAAATAATTATAATGGTGTTACAGAAGTCTAGCTCATGCTACAGTGAAATAATTTGTTTTGTATTAAATTTTTATAAGATTTGTTGGTTTCCAAAATTAATACTTAATATTTTATCTTAATTTTTGAATATTTTTACATAATATTATTATTAAACAAAGTAAAAATACAATAAACTATTAGGATTTCTTGGCACTCTTGGAGTTGGTTTTTAGGAAGAATTGTGGGTAAGTGCTAGCTCTTCTCCAGTATCTGTTCTTTCCTCATCTACGGTTACTTTTTAATATGAAATTGGACACAGACCAACTGGAATAAATACTACTTTGTATTGCCTCCCTTGTAACTAAGTATAGAAGCAAGTAAATGCTGCCTAGTGAGAAACAAATGAATTGTCTTTCTACTCTTCTCTGGAATGTGGACGTAATTACTGCAGTTCTGTAGCCATCTTGAACCATGGGATGATCTTGGGAATGGAATCCACTTTTAATAAAGCTACAAGATAGGTCAGGCTCATAAATTGTGGCATATGCCATATTAACCTAAGACTGACCACACTACTTCTGACTGTGGCAGAAAATTAGTCTTTACCTTGTTCCAACTGTTGCCAGTGGAAGGGTAGCCAAGTTCTTGGCATCTTGAACAAAGAATTGAACAAAATGCACAAACAAAGCAAGGAAAGAATGAAGCAACAAAATCAGTGTGGGGGCAGGCCTGAGCATAGGGGTTCGAGTGCCCAGTTACAGAATTTTCTGGAGTTTAAATATCTTCTAGAGGCTTCCATTGGTTATTTGGTGTACCCCTTATATAAATAAAGAGGATATTCCAGGGATAGCTGAAGTGTTTCCATTTGATTTAGTTCTAGGAAGTCCTTAGGTTCTCTGCTTCCATGCCCTATTCTCCTGATTTATGCCCTGAAAGATGTGATCCCCATAAATCTTTATGGAAGGCAGAGGGACCACTGGTCTTTCTTCTGTAACCGCTTCATTCTGGCTTGGGGCATAGCCCCTACTTCTTGGGGATCATGGAACTCTTGCCCTGCTTTGTCTAGTGGAGGCAGGGTAGCTCCTTGATGGCCAGGTGTGGAATGGGCTGGAACCTTTGTGGCATGATCAACTGAAGCTTGATAGTGTCTAGGAGAGGGGAAATGAATTTGGTTAAAAGATTTAATGGGAACTTAAAGGGGGTGGATACCTATGCTGACAGGAATATTTGTTATAGAGATTTGCAGGAGAAAAACAAAACCTGGTCTGTTCTAGGGTCTATGTGTTTCCTTAAAGTGTTAGCATAAGCGACTTCATTTTGGTCTGGTTTGGTTTGGTCTGTTGAAACCTAGTGCATAAGCTCAGTCCACAGCAGTGAACTACCATAATTTTGTTTAAAAAAATTCCCCCTTTTTGGTAAGGTTCTCACTTAGGTGAGAGTGTGACCAAAACTTAGGGCCTTAGTGCCACTCTCGGTTAACATCGTTTTGGGTTTCTGGTCTCAGCATGTCACTCCTAGGTTACAGTGTCCTCATGGTCACACATTTCTTTCTGCTCTTGTCAGTTGAAGAGATATCATTTGAGATTCTAGAGATGGCTGCATGTAAACATATAAAACACTTGAGAGAATACAGCACTCCAGGGAGACTATTATTATGACTATCAGGAGGATAATACCAAGAGTTTGGAGTACACTCTTTACCCAGGGTCCCCATAAATTAAGCCTCCTAAAATCAAAGACATCAAAGAATGAGCTAGATAAAGAGTCTACTCACTTAATTAAGCAATCTCTTTATTAATCCCCTACCACTGAATCTCTATAATCTTCATTTGATGTGTTTCTCCATAGGCCACAAGTGCCAGCAGCTGCACAGATACTTCTCCATTCAGCCAATTCTATCATAACTTTCACAAGAGAATTTAAAGTCTGTTGTGGAACCATAGCCTTTATAGGAGAATCTGGTATAGAGCCTATTATGAGGGATACATTTCTAATCATTGCCTCTTTTATTCCAAATCATGGAAAAAGGACATAAGGCCGGCTGCAAAATCCTTCATAAATAAAAGTATACCCATAAATGTACACAACAGACCCCTTTTTCACTTCTATTGCTCATGGAGGAATAAGCAAGGAAAAAATATTTAAAAATAAGTGTCCTGTGATATTAGAGAAGTCTTGATCCATGATCTTGAGAAAAATTATTCACATCACGCTTCTGGGAAGAAACTTCCCTGGTTAGCTTTACCTTAAGGGTTCCAATGGGTGTACAATTCCAACAGTATGGAGGGACTCCACTCAGTTGTGACACTATGAACCCAAAGTTCAAGGTTCCAAAGTTTTGCTTCAGTGTGGATGGCAAGGACAATCTTTCTCCGATGTTCTCAGAAGATCTAATCTTAGGGTTCTAGATTGTGAATAGGTTGATTGTCCTCAGTGAACCATAAAAAGCTTTCTTTACCTGGTGAAAATACACTGCATCATAATAACTTAGTTATATGTTATTTAAGTGTGTTGAGTGTACTTTCATAAATAGAATTTGAGTCATATTTCTCTCTCTGCCTAATTTGTCCAAAATTTGTAAACTATTTGCGACTATTCTTAATTCATGGCATATTCGTGTTATAACATCAGCCTTCTTGAACAGGAGAGCTTTTATATAACCAGAAACCATGCACTGAAAATAACAATTGACAAATAACGAATCTGTTTATAAAATGTACAAATCACCCATCAGGTGATTCAACGTACCTGACGCTTTGATTGTTTTCCCAGGAATATGGGACCAAACATTGGTTACAAACTGTTTTAGCAATTTATTAGCCACCACACCAATATATTCAATTTGTATCATTTTATCTTTTCCATGGTGAGTCATGGAATGCAGAACTTTTAATTACAAAAGCTTTAAGGACTCAGGAATGACAAGGTGGCCATCCTTGTTCTCCATGAATGCATGCTTAATTAACATTCAACTTATATCCTCTTGAATACCAGTTGTTTCTCCAAATTAGGTGAATAGCACTGATAACTGATGGGTTATCATAGATAATTTGACTTAGACTGTGGAGTTCATTCAAATGGTATAAACAATTTCAGTATCAGTTGGCTTAACATGAAAATCTGGCAAAGTATTTTATTGGTATTCAATTAATTTTTTGGCCCTACTTGGGTTAGTAGTTTTATACATGACATGTGGTTCTTTCTCTGGTGTAAAATACCTTAAAACAATTTTTAAAAATAAAAAAAGCAGTTTATGACCTTGAAGTATTTAGTGAACCTAGTATCTGACCCACATAATTGAGACGAAATGTTTACATTTTTGAAGATATTCTTATTTTACCAATAATCTTTAAAACTGTCTTTATTTCCCAAAGATTAGTTAAGTGACATGAACTAAATAAAAACTATTATGCTTTTTACTTTTCTGACAAAATATTTAATTGAAGTTCTTCTTATTAAACCAATTAATTAAAGCTTTTTTACACAACACATATAAATACATAGACAGACAGATGATAAAGAACTCATTCCCTAAGCCAGGAATCTAACCCTAAACCCAGGCTGCCATTGTGAAAAGAGAAAACACAGCCACATGGTAACAAGGTCCAGATCTCAAGGATACGGCTGACCAGTTTGCTGGGCCATCTTAAACAGTGGGCCTATGGCGTCCTAGGTATGCATTTTATCCTAAGATACCCCTCTTTATGACACAATAATACAGAAAGACACACAAAGCACACCAGATTCACTACAGCTTAAGACCAGCCTCAAAATTCTTTTTTGCATTAATCAGAACTTTACAGAGGAAATAAACAGTGACTTTTACCATTCATTTACCATTTTGTACAGAGAGAGGTGTCAGAGTCTGAATGGTGAGAAATAATTCTTACCTTTTGCTGGCATGCCAGGCTTCTGGGTTCCCTTTCCCTGAGCAACCCTTGCAACCCTGTTCTGTCTGTATGCAAACACATATATTGCCAAGAATTAAGAATAGTCGCAAATAGTTTACAAATTTTGGACAAATTAGGCAGAGAGAGAAATATGACTGAAATTCTATTTATGAAAGTATACTCAACACACTTAAAGTATCAGGAAGCCTAAACTCCAAAAAGTTAGTGTAAGGTTAAAAAGCTGGTGTGCTCCATCAATTCCTGCCAGCCCAACAGAGGTAGCCTAGGAATTCCAGATAAATAGAACACATGCTAACTTGCTAGAAATGTGTAGGAAATGAAGTAACTATTCACAGAACCAAATAAAAGCCTTTCACTAGAAACTAAAAAAAAAAAAAAAAAAAAAATTATGGTTTTCCATATATGCACACATAAGCAAAGCACAGAGAATAAATAGTAAATTAATTAAAATTAGAAGCAAAAACAAATAAAAAAGAAACCAACACTAATGTTTTTAACTCAATCTCAATCTACTCTGGAGATTGCAGTGTTACCTAGAGCCCACAAAAAACCCACATAATGAATATTTTATTCCTGATACACATTCAATGACCTTAAGTCCACCAATATTATCAAACATCCTGTGGAATCAAGAAATTCACTCTAGGCACATGACCAATAAGTACTCCAGTGCCAGCACTATTCATGAAAAACAGTAAATATAGTGTGAAGCAATGCAAGCATGTATGTGAAATTTGGTTCCACACTAAATCCAGCTTCATGCTTAACTGTAGTAAAACAAACAAACAAAAAAAAAGAATTGCCAAACTGCTGATGAATTTCTTTACAATACTTCTTATTTTACTTTAATCAAGACTAAGAGCTTTAATTATGAAAATGTTAATTAGCCAAATGTCTCCAATTCTATATCAGGTTTTAAAGAAGATTTTATTATCTAAACTTATTTTTTACATCTTTCTCCGCTACTTACTGGTTCCTTACTACATTCTTTCATAAATAAGCTTTTCAAATCTGTAATTTGAACTAACTTTTAGATAACATCTGAATTAGACAAAATTATTATTTTACTCATTAATAACACAACCCTTTCTGGCACATTTTGTATACAGAATTATGTGTTAACTAGAATTCTTATCCTCAGTAACCTAAAACTTTAGTGAAACCCTAAAAAGCGAAAAATCCTGAACTGTCAATATTGGGCATTTAGGTAAGAATTCCACAATTTTTAGAAACATATTTCCCCAAATCATAACCCTTTCTTAACTGGAAATGATACAGATATTCAATGAGCATCAAAAATAATTTTAAGATTTAATTTACACAAAAGTTTACCTAAAATATTTATCCCATTCATTGAACTCAATTCTTTCACTTTTAACAGTTTATCTAGATTACTTCTGTAAACTGAGATATTAGACACTGTCATTTAAAGTTAATTACTTCTTTTGTTAATCACATTTTTAATAGTCAGTAAACATCAGATGCTCACCTAAACCTAAGTAAGGGCCTCAAAGTTAAATACATAGGTATTTTACCAATAACTCAGAAGACTTAGCTAACGTTAAATTATTCTCATTTGTCAAAAAAAAAGGCATGCAAACCAAGACCATTTTGTTTTGGCTGGGTTTATAATTTTGTAACCTTCTATGCCAAATGCTGACATCTCAAAATAACTAGCAAAGACAAACTTAAAATCTAGAAAAAAAAAGTATGCTGACAATTCTGAAGGCATTTCTATTTTTATTTTACCAATAATTTTAAAGCTGGCTTGTTTAGTAAAGTTATACTTAAGTAGCGTGAACTTGAAAATTGCTTAGACTTATTTGCTTAATTTATGGGCACTCTTTTGCTTATAAGCCAATTCGGTAGCTACAACATATAACAATAAGTGTACATACAAATAGACACATCTAGACGTGTACACACACACACACACAAAGACCTGATAGCTTTGAACCCTAGCCATGAGATAGCAATACAAGCTCACCAGTTTTACTTTGTTTGCCTTAATAGATAATCCAACGAAGGCCAGGAACCAAAATTTTGGGGAAAGCAGTTTCCATGGCAGTTTGATTTTTAAAGACCAAACCTCCCCACACTCCAGAGAACACGGAGGCCAAACAGCACCAAAGGAGAGCATCACACATTAACCAGCCCCACTGCTTAGAACAGCAGCACAAAAGCCTGGATATATCCAATGCCCTCCCACTTTCCCATTCGACAGTAAACTCCAGATTCCAAACAACATTGGGGCCAAACAGTATTGAAACTGTGAGAGAAAGTTCTAAGGAGGGTTTAGCGCTAAACCTCAGAACCTTTGCCAAGGATGTCCCTTTTGGAGAGGTTGAGCCACAGGATTCCCTGGGGCGTCCCCTTGTGAGTCCCAATCTTAGAGTGCCAGGCACCTCTGACCTTAGGTGGGCACCAGTGCTGCTTTGCATGCTTTCCTCCAGGGGTGATGGCCTACTATGAGCTTCCTTTGGTTCCTGGGTATAATCCCTGACTTTTAGCATCCTTATGATTTGGTAAGGCTACACTTTCCTATGCTTCCCATTCCACTAGAGTGATAGCCATGAACTACAGTGATAGGAATTGGAGTCTGAGTAGTCTTCTTTTGTCCTTAGCCAGTTGAGTAGGGGAAGGGAAGAATTTAGCATAAAAAACAAGGTTTAAGTCTCCTGAAACACGTGGGAGTTTGCTCTGAGCTGCACCACACTACGGATCAGGGATCACAACTGGAAAAGATAGAAAGAGTCCTTCAGAACGGCCCCTGGCTAGAAATCTGCAGTTGCCACCATGTTTAGGTGCTACCCACCAAGGGCCCCAAGTTGGAAAGGAAAAGAGAGAGGGAGAGATTCCTCTGTATGAAGCAGAAAGAAAAAGGAGAAAAATAAATCCCAAACTTTGGGCTTACCTCCTGGCTAGCTTGCCAAAATATGTTACTGGTGGAGGGTGTCCAGGTTCTTGATGTCTTGGAAAAAAGAATTGGACAAAACACGCAAACAAAGCAAGGAAAGGATGAAGCAACAAAAGCAGAGATTTATTAGAAACAAAAGTATACTTCACAGTGTGGGAGCAGGCCCAAGCATACGGGCTCAAGAGACCAATTACAGAATTTTCTGGGCTTTAAATATCTTCTAGAGGTTTCCATTGGTTATTTGGTGTACACCTTATGTAAATGAAGAGGATTTTACCTGTCATAGCTGAAGTGTTTCCATTTGATTTAGATCTAGGAAGTCCTTAGTTTCCCTGCCCCCAGGCCCTATTCTCCTGGCTCACAATTATTCTTATTTCTTTATTTTTGCTTGTTTATTTATTGTTATTATTATTATTTTCACTGGAATGGAGCCACAACTAACAGAATAATATTTCCAGAGTTTAAGAAAGTCAGCATGGAATTCAATAGGATTGAAACTGATTACTAACTACGATGTTTATTTCATATATTGTCTTGAACCACTTACACAGCTGACCTAAGATCCAATTCTTTCATCTGTAGAATGGGCAAAACAACAACAAAAACTTGCTTGATAGGATTGTGGAGAGGAGTGAATGTCATAATAATACATCAAGCATGTAATACACAACAGGGCACATGGAGGTGCTAGGTTAGTGTTAGCAGTTACTAATAATATTTACTAATGTTACTATTTTGAAGCCAATTTCTTATTGTTCTTATTTTAATATGACTTTCAAAACAAAATCATAGAGATTAAATCAAGGACCAATCCTCGTAAGAGTTGATGAAATGAGCGAGAGGTAGTGTACTTCTGAGAGGTGTTGACAACACTGCTCTAATTCATCTAGCATATCACAGAAACTGGCCTACAGCTCACAGGTAACCAGAGAAATCTGCAGTATGACACGATCATCACAGCAACAGCCAATATTTTTAAACTGATTAGTATGTGCTGGTCCAGAAAGCGTAGAGAATATGCTTACCTCAGTGGCTGGCCACTGATGTTAGTCAAATCTGAATTTATCTCTAGACAAATGAATGTCTCAAAACTAGACAAACTTCATAGGAGACATGATCTAAGCCTAGAAAAAAATAGTAAAGTAAAAAGACAAATAGTACAAAGTCTAATTAATAAAAACTTGGAAAAGTGTTTGATGAATGTGACATCTGCCTTCTAGTTTACATTTAAGGCACTTTCCTAAATATTATCTCAGACCTTTTATTTAATACTAAACTAATTTAGCAGCTCAACAGAATTTCTGAAAAGGCTTCAGTATGCTAATGTGCATTACAAATCTCTAAGAGATGTTATAAAATTAATCATTTCTCATTCATTTCCCTTCAAGCATTATTAACCTTCCATGGGTCCAGAATTCCACAGAACACAGCTTAGAAAGTGTTTACACTGAAAGGTTTTGAGGTCTTTAGGTGTATGGCCTGTGCTTCAATCAAATCTCTATCTTCAGAACCAAGATCACAGATTTTTTAAAAAAACAACAGCAAATAAAAACATTTTAATGCTCATATCAAATAGTTAATGGCAGAGATGGGATTTAATTATTATTTGCAGTCTTCTGCTATGTGAACTCAGGTGGTCAGGCTTCCTGCTGGAGGTGGAGAGGAGATAGGGCAGAAAGGATATCAAATAGGTAATTAACAAATAAATGCTCTGGTAGTGTGACTTGAGGCAAATTTTGCAAACGATCTGGGCCTCATATGCTTCCTCTGGTAGGAAATAGAGAAAGAATTAGCTTAATGACTTCTGAAATGCCCAGTATCTCTAAAATTATCTTATTTGATTTGAGTTTTGAAGGAATGACAATGTAAATTGGTGAAGAAGATGAGAAAGACAGTTTCAGTTATGTGGAGAACAACTTGACCCTTCAAAGCTATCTGTTGGCAGACTCTTCCTAAACCTGAGCAACCATCACTAGTCATCTTGTTTAATTCATATTGCTTATGTTTTTAATCTCTTTATTATTATCAATAACAGTATTAATAACAATAATGGTTGCTTAAATTAATAGAGCATCTTCATTTCTTAAAACTGTTTCATCATTTATTTTCCCATCTTATCCTTTGCTAATTATGAGGTAGAAAGTGAAGGCAGACATATCTCATTATATCTATTCTGTTAAGCAACAGGGGATTTGCATAATGTCCCCCAATAAGCCAAATGCAGAGCCAAGGCCTGCTGACTTCCAGCCTTATGTTCTTCTTTAAAAAATGCTTTTTCCTTTCTCTCACTAACATTTACATTTTTTAAACATGTAGACCTCTTCCAGATTTATATTTATCAACATTAATTTTGCACAGGGATTGTGACTTCTATATATCTGGAGCCAGAGCTGCTTATTTTCTTTAAGCCCTGCAGCTTTCTTCCTTACCTACGTATAGATGATTAAAACATCTCACCACTTGTAGGGATGGATGCCCCTTGTAACATCATTGTAAATGCAGACTTCAAATCTCCTCTGATGAAAATGCCTTAAATGTCAACTCACAGATAAAAGTATCAGGCATTGAAACTGTATCAGAGATTTGATCGTTCTCTCTTTAAAGGCAGTTTTCGTATGAATTATTTTATATATTCACAGTATAATAAAAGATAAGAAAGTATTTTAGGTTGCAAACATGTTTGTCAATTACTTAATGGTGAAGATGATGTTGGTAATAAAATGTAACTACAAAATTTGGCAATGAAATATAACTACAAAATACCTGATAGATTAGTTAACACAATAATGTTCAATAATTCTCAAATGATGTATATTAAATGCGTAAAATCATTCCTTTTATGTGGTAACATTTATTCTTCCATTAAATATTCATTGACCAACAACTTTTGCCAGGTTTTCTGCTAGGCTCTGGTGGATTTAAAGATAAGCAAGATAAAAAGAAAAAATCCTTGGCTTCAAAGACTTCATAGTCTATTGGGGCAGAGAGGAGAGAAACAGCTTTATATTGTTAAAGTTCAAGAGAATACAGCTCTAATGGCAGGTCCTTTTCAGGACCAGTTCAGAGAGGAGGTGAGGCTTGAGTTGAATCAAAAAAGATGGATGGAAATCCTCCAAGTAAAAAAATGAGTGGGGATATGGTAACTCCAGGAACAAATTTTAAAATATGGAAAAGGCATATCACTTTATGGGTAATGGATACTCTTTGTTATGGCTAGATTATGCATATGGATGTGAGAAAGATCTATCTGATGGCTATGTGAGGAAAATTGGCTTGAATGAAAGCGTGTGGAAAGCTTGCAGAAATCTAAATGAGGATAGTGTCTCTTGTATTGGGTTGATCACCAAGTGAGAGAGAGATATAATGAAATAGAAAATTTTGGATATAGAATCAATATGGGTAATGGATTAAAAAGAATAAATAAAATTTTTTCTCAAGTTGTATGTATTAACAGAAAAGTAGTTAGTTTGAAAAGGGAAATTTGGGAGAACAAGGGTTCTCCATTACACATAATATTAACTATCCAAGTAGAAATATAGAAATTTGGATACACAAGTATATAATGTAGGGAAGATTTATAGGCTGAAATTATAAATTTTAGCTACATCAGTATAAAGGTAAGACTTGAAACAAGGGTACTAATAAGTTCACCTAGAGAAAAAGTGTATGTAGAGATATCATTCAGTACTTTGGCTGAGAATATATAAGGAAGAGATTATTATTTGAAGAAAATAATTGCTATTAGAGAAAATCAAACCTCATTCCTTCCCTTCCATTACCAAGTGCAATCCAAGAGTGTACCTGCAGCATAAACAAGAAAGTCTCTCTGCAAAAAATGAAGGCATTACTTAAGTTTGAGGATACTCATTTGTGGATAGAGATTGCAAAGCAGATAAAATGCTAGCTAACTTTAACATGGGCTGCTCTTCTTCCTCTTCTACCTATGTTATAGAAGGACCTATTCTTTCAGGACAAGAATGACCCTTCTGTCTCTTCTTTTTGGTAGATGACCTTTCTCTTTCCCATGTGACTGTGAAGCCAAGGACTATTTCTCTAACCTGGGCAACCTTGATGCAAACAGCTTAGACTATATCTGTTTAATGAATTTAATTTTGTTAATTAAAATAAATTAGCACAATGAACCATATCTGATATGTAAATAAAACTTTGAAATGTTACAAATGGAGTATTAAAATTACTAGCAGAGTATCCTTCTGTGACCACTGTTTTTGATTGTTGATGCCAATATTGTCAGGCATTTCTCTCTTTCTAAATCTTCTATATTTTTTAAGATATGGAGGCTGATGAACAATTTCTGAAAATGTGAATATGGGGTAAAAGAATATATTCTAATCAGTCATATTTTAATTGCCTGTCTTAAGGAGATCTGTTTTATCTAGCTTATATCTTGCTTACAAGCCTCAACTAACCAATTAGACTGAAGCAAATGTAGTATTTCTTATTGACCAACTTGTGAATGGGTCATGGTTCACACCATGACTGAAAACTCTTCCAGGGGAGGGGTGAAGACAATGTGTGTTCTTGTTATTATCACACAAAGCCAGAAAGTGCAGTCGTAACAATAGATATTCACTTTATTTTTAATTTTTATTTTAGGTTCAAGGGTACATGTGCAGGTTTGTTATATGATAAACTCGTTTCATGGAGCTCATTGTACATATTATTTCATCACCCAGGTAATGAACATAGTATCCAATAGGTACTTTTCAGTCCTCTTCTTCCTCCCACGCTCCACCCTCAGATAGGCCCTAGTGTCTGTTTTTCCCCTATTTGTCTTCATGTGTTCTCATCATTTACCTCCCACTTATAAATGAGAACATGCAGTATTTGGTATTTTGCTCCTGTGTTAGTTTGCAAAGGATAATGGCCTTCAGCTCCATCCATGTTCCTGCAAAGAACATAACCTTATTCTTTCTTATGGCTGCATAGTATTCTGTGGTGTATATGTACCACATTTTCTTTATCCAGTGTACCAATGATGGGCATTTAACTTGATTCCATGACTTTGCTATTGTGAATAGTGCTCCAATGAACATACATGTGCATGTGTCTTTATAATAGAACAATTTATAATCCTTTGGGTATACACCAGTAATGAGATTGCTGGATTGAATGGTAGTTCTGTTTTTAACCTTTGAGGAATCACCACAATGCTTTCCACAATGGTTGAACTAATTTACACTCCCATCAGCAGTGTATAAGCATTCCTTTTTATCTGCAACCTCACCAGCATCTGCTATATTTTGCTTTTTAATAATAGCCATTCTGATTGATGTGAGATGGTATCTCATCGTGGTTTGATTTGCATTTCTCTAATCATCAGTAATATTGAGGTTTTCATCATATGCTTGTTAGCTGCTTGTATGTCTTCTTTTGAAAAATGTCTGTTCATGTCCTTTGCCCACTTTTTAATGGGGTTGTTTTTTTCTTGTAAACTTAAGTTACTTATAGATGCTGGATATGAGACCTCTATCAGTTGTGTAGTTTGCAAATATTTTTCCCATTCTGTAGATTATCTGTTTACTCTTGATAGTTTCTTTGGCTGTGCAGAAGCTCTTTAGTTTAATTAGCTTCCATTTGTCAATTTTTGCTTTTGTGCAATCACTTTTGGCATCTTTGTTACAAAATCTTTGCCAGTTCCTTTGTCCAGAATAGTATTGCCTAGGTTGTCTTCCAGGGTTTTTACAGTTTTGGGTTTTACATTTAAGTCTTTAATCCATCTTGAGTTGATTTTTGTATATGATGTAAGGAAGTAGTCCAGTTTCAGTGTTCCACATAGTGCTAGCCAGTTATCCCAGCACCATTTGTTGAATAGGGATGCCTTTCCCCATTGCTTGTTTTTGTAAGCTGTGTCGAAGATCAGATGGTTGTAGGTGTGTGGCCTTATTTCTGGGCTCTCTATTCTGTTCCATTGGTCTATGTGTCTGTTTTGTACCAGTACCATGCTGTTTTGGTTACTGTAGCCCTATAGTATAGTTTGAAGTTAGGTAGTGTGATGCCTCCAGCTTTGTTCTTTTTGCTTAGGATTGCCTTGGCTATCTGGGCTCTTTTTAGTTCCATATGAATTTCAAAATAGATTTTTCTGGTTCTATGAAGAATTTCTTTGGTAGTTTGATAGGAATAGTATTGAATCTATAAATTACTTTGAGCAGTGTTGCCATTTTAACAATATTGATTCTTTTTATCCATGAGCGTGGAATGCTTTTTCATTTGTTCGTGTCATCTCTGATTTCTTTGAGCAATGTTTTGTAATTCTAGTTGTAGAGATGTTTCACCTCCCTGGCTACCTGTATTCCTAGATATTTTATTCTTTACATGGCTACTGTGAATGAGACTGCATTCTTGATTTCACTATCAGCTTGTGTGTTGTTGGTGTATAAGAATGCTAATGATTTTTGCACATTAATTTGTTTATTCTGAAACTTTACTGAAGTTATCAGTTTAAGGATATTTTGCACTGAGACTATGGAGTGTTCTTGGTGTAGAATCATGTCTTCTGCAAACAGGGATAGTTTGACTTCCTCACTTCTTATTTGGATGCCCATTATTTCTTTCTCTTGCCTGATACTTTCACCAGGACTTTCAATACTATGTTGAATGGGAGGGGTGAGAGAGGGCATTCTTGTCTTGTGCCAGTTTTCAAGGATAATGCTTCAGGCTTTTTTTCTATTCAGTATGTTGTTGGCTTTCAGGTTGTCATAGATGGCCTTTACTATTTTGAGGTATGTTTCTTCAATTCCTGGTTTATTGAGAATTTTTGACATGTAGGGATGTTGAATTTTACTGAAAGCCTTTCTACATTATTGAGATGATCATGTGGTTCTTGTCTTTAGCTCTGTTTATGTGATGAATCACATTTATTGATTTGCATATGTTGAACTCACCTTGCATCCCAGGGATAAAGCCTACTTGATCATGCTGGATTAGCTTTATGATGTGCTGCTGGATTCACTTTGCCAGTATTTAGGTGAGGATTTTTGCTTCAATGTTCATCAAGGATATTGGCCTGAAGTTTTCTGTTTTTGTTGTGTCTCTACCAGATTTTGGTATCAGAATGATGCTGGCTTCATAGAATGAGTTGAGGAGGAGTCCTTCCTGCTCAATTTTTTGGAATAGTTTAAGTAGGAATGAAACCAGTTCTTTGTGCATCTGGGAGAATTCAGCTGTGAGTTCGTCTGGTCCTGGGCTTTTGTTGATTGGTAGGCTATTTATTACTGATTCAATATTGGAGCTAATTTTTGGTCTATTCAGAGAATCAGTTTCTTTCTGGTTCAGTCTTGGGAGGGTGTATGTGTCCAGGAATTTATCCATTTCTTCTAGATTTTTTAGTTTATGTGCATAGAGATGTTCAAGTTGTCTCTGATGGTTATTTGTATTTCCCTGGGGTCAGTGGTAACATTCGTTTTGTTGTTTCTAATTGTGTTTATTTGGATATTCTTTCTTTTCACCTTTATCAGTCTAGCTAGCAGTCTATCTATTTTGTTAGTTTTTTTTTTTTTTTTTTTTGAAACACCAGCTCCTGGATTCATTGATTATTTGAAGGTTTTTTTGTGTCTCAAGCTCCTTCAGCTCAGCTCTAATTTTGGTTATTTCTTGTCTTCTGCTAGTTTTGGGGTTGGTTTGCTCTTGCTTCTCTAGTTTTTTTTTTAGTTGTGGTCAGGTTGTTAATGTGCAATCTTTCTAACTTTTGGATGTGGGCATTTAGCACTGTAAACTTCCCTCTTATCACTGCTTTATGTATGTCTCAGAGACTCTGGTAATGTTTATCTTTTTTCTCATTAATTTCAAAGAACTTCTTGATTTCTTGCTCAGTTTCATATTTACCCAAAAGTTATTTAGGATAAGCTTGTTTACTTTTCATGTAACTGTATGGTTTTGAATGATTTTCTTAGTCTTGAGTTTTATTTATTTTTTATTTTTTTGCACTGTGATCTTAGAGAGTGGTTGGTATGATTTCAATTTTTTGTTTTTGGGGTTTTTTTTGCATTTGCTGAGGATTATTTTATGTCTAATTGTGTGGTTGATTTTAGAGTATGCACCATGTGGCAATGAGAAGAATGTATATTCTTTAGTTTGGGGGTGGAGGGTTCTGCAGATACGTGTCGCGTCCATTTGGTACAGTGTTGAGTTCTTTGTTAATTTTCTCCCTCGATTATCTATCTAATACTGTCAGTGGGATGTTGAAGTCTCCTGCTATTATTGTGTGGGAATCTAAGTCTCTTGGAAGGTCTCTAAGAACTTGCTGTATGAATCTGGGTGCTCCTGCATTGGGTACACATATGTTTAGGATAATTAGGTATTCCTATGAAATTGAACCCCTTACCATTATGTAATGCCATTCTTTGTCTTTTTAAATCTTTGTTGGTTTAAATTCTGTTTTGTCTGAAATTAGGATTGTAACCACTCCTTTTTTCTATTTTTCACTTGCTTGGTAGATTTTTCTCCATCCCTTTTTTTGAGCCTGTATTTGTCATTGCATGTGAGATGGGTCTCTGAAGACAGCATACCACTGGGTCTTGCATCTTTATTCAGCTTGTCACTCTGTGACTCTTCACTGGGGTGTGCAGCCCGTTTAAATTCAAGGATAGTATGGATATGTGTAGATTTGATACTTTCATCATGTTGCTACCGGTTTATTATGCCACCTTGTTTTTGTGGTTGCTTTATAGTGTTAGTGTTCTGTGTACTTAGTGTTTTTTGTAGTGGCTGGTAAAGGTCTTTCCCTTTCATAGTTAGTGCTTTTTTCAGGCCCTGTTTTAAGGCAGGTCTGGTGGTAACAAATTCCCTCAGCATCTCTTTGTCTGAAAAGGGTCTTATTTCTCCTTTGCTTATGAAGCTTAGCTTGGCTGCATATGAAATTCCTGGTTAGAATTTATTTTCTTTAAAGATGTTAAATATAGACCTCTGATATCTTGTGCTTGTAGGGTTTCTACTGAGAGTCTGCTGTTAGTGTAAAGGGCTTCCCTCCATAGGTGACCTGTCCTTTCTCTCTAGCTGCCTTTAACATATTTTCTTTCATTTCAATCTTAAAGAATCTAATGATTACGTGTCTGGGAGATGATCTTGTGAAGTACTTTGTAGGTACTCTCTGCATTTCCCGAATGTGAATCTTGGCCTCTATAGTTAGTTTGGGGAAGTTCTCATGTATGATATCCTTAAATATGTTTTCCATGTTGCTTCCATTCTCTCCATCTCTTTCAAGGATGCCAATGAGTCATAGATTTGGTCTCTTTACATAATCACATACTTCTCGGAGGTTTTGTTCACGCCTTTTTTTTCTTTTTTTCTTTATTCTTATCTGACTTTCTTATCAGAAAGTCAGTCTCAATTCAAGCTCTGAGATTTTTTCCTTCACTGGGTCTATTCTGCTATTAATACTTGCAATTGCATTATGAAATTTTTGTAGTGTGTTTTCCAGCTCTGTCAGGATGGTTACATTATTTCCTATATTGGCTATTTTGTCTGTCAGCTCTTGTGTCATTTCATTGTGATTCTTAGCTTCCTTAGATTGGGTTTTGTTGTTCTCCTGAATCTCAATGATCTTCATTCATATCCATATTCTGAATTATATTTGTGACATTTTAGCCATCTAAGCTCAGTCAAGGACTCTTGCTGGAGAGCTAGTGCAGTTGTTTGGAGGAAGGAAGACACTTGACTTTTTGAATTGTCAGTTTTTGCACTGTTTCTTTCCCATCTTTGTGGCTTGATGTTCAATCTTTGAGGTTGCTGTCTTATTTTTTCTTACTGTTTGATGACGTTGGGGGTTTGCTTGTGGTTTAAGGGGGCTTTAGTTGACTGGCTTCATTTCTGGAAAACTTTAGGGGGCCATGGCTCAGCTCATAACTCCTGGACTGTGTGCTCTAACTCTGGGAGACTGGTATCAGGTCTTGCCTTTGTTATCTGGCCCCTCAAGGTTAGGACCTGCTGTGCTGAAGAAACTGAGTTGCTCCCCAACCACAGGTCACAACATTCTGATGGGCGGTGTCAGCCAAAGAACTTCATGGTTCTGCTACATAGGCGGCAGCAGGATCTGTCCTTCTTCACATCTGTCTGCAGCAGCAGCATCACCAGCACAGCAGGGGTACCCCTTGTTAGCTGAGACAGGGTGCTAGTGGGTGCTGGTTGTAGGCCTCCATGCAGACGTTTGCAGCAGCAGCAGTGGCACTGCAGCTCAGGGGGTTGGGGGATGCCATCAGCAACTGTATGCATTCTAGCTGGTGTCGTGGTGGTGTTAGCATGGGGGCAGGGCACTGGTGGCTGCAGGATGGTTTGTGCTGTCTGTGCACATTCATACCGGTAGTGGTGGCCACTCAGGCCAGGGGCAGGTCCTTTGTATTCCATGTCTAGTTTCACGCCAGTGGCAGTGTCAGCACAGGGGCAGGATGCTGGCAGGTGTGGGACTGGCAGACAGGGTGACCTCCAATGCTCTGACAACAATGGTGATGTGGTGGAGAAGGGGTGCACTCCTGTTGGCAACAGTGGCAACATGCATGCTGGTGGGGAAGGGAAGTCAAGAACATCCCAAAGCTTCTTGAGGGGTTGTCATGGGTGGTTGCATGCAAGCAAAGCATCATGGGTGAGGCTGTAGTGGAGGGGATAGTAGGGGTAAGCTGGTTTGTTTCCACTGGGGCTGCTCTGCTGGAGCATCCTGTCAGTCAGGCACAGTCCACTAGCACAGGAGCTATGATGTGGGCCCCCAGGAGGTATCTAGGGGCTGCAGTGCAAGCATGCACAGCCATACTGGGCCCCAGGAGAGGCCAGCAGACCAAGTAGTGCTCAAGTTAGACTGGCCCCATCTCATGGGCAAGATTGTCCTGCAGAGTTCAGTTTCAACTTTTCCCCTAGGGCTGAAGTCTCATATTGGAGGAAGCTGAGTCTGGGGGTTGAGTGTCCCTGGCCATGTTTCCCTACAAATGCTCCTGTTCCAAGCCCTCTAGGCTTTGCAGGGGCTGGAGTTCTGCCCCTACCACTTCCCTAAGTAGCTCTCCCTGTCAGCTCAAGTGTCTGTGGTGTTCCTGGGACCCCATCCTCTTGGCAGGATTCCAGAGACGTGTCATGAGAGCAGGTTGCTCCTTATTTGTTCAACTCACCCCTTCTCCAGGAGTCACTGGGGCTCAGGAATGAGTCTTGGTGTGCAGAATCCCCATGAAACATTCCCAGCTTCCTCCAACTCCAGCCCAGTATCTGTGTCTTCCCTCCATTCAATCTCAATGCCTTTCCTCTGAAGACGTGCTAGAAGTACACCAGTCTTTCCAATGTCCCATTCCCTTGGTGGAAGATGTTCCTCTTGACTATGTCTAGTTGGCCATCTTGGAGCAGCTCCTGGATATTCTCTTTAAAATAACCCAGAAATGTAGTAATCTTGACCTGTATTTCCCTTGAGTGCTGGCAAGATTATTGCTTTGCCATCCTATTTTGTTTCTCAGGAAAGTAAAACCATAACTACATATGCTGTTCAAGTGACAAAGAGCACAAAAAGTCCCATAGCCGCACATGTAAATGTGGCATGCTGCTTCTGGTGGTTTCCAGGGAATAAATTTTGTTCATATGAGGAAAGTAAACATATAGAAGGTAAGAATTATTCATCCATTTAAATTTCAATGTATGTTTTCACAGACAATAATAAAAATCTTCTCAGCATTCCTATGCTTAGTGTTATTATAATTTTATAGATGAAATCCAGAGAGTATACAGATTCACCTAATCTTATGGGAATAAGTAACCCAACTAAAGTTCAACACAAGACTCCCCAGAAAGGTTCATGAGCAGCTAGGAGAGAAAATGAGATCTCAATACATTAATCATGACAAGTGCAATAAGGAAAGAAATCCTAGGTAATGTTCTACAAATGCTTAGTGAATTTTGACACACTCAATAAAATCTTCAGAGTCTCCATAATCCTTTATGAGACTCTTCTTTGACCTTTTTGTTTCCCAATCTGCTTCATTTAGCAAGTACAGTTTGCAAAGTGAAGATGCTGATACCCAAGTGCCCTCCACTCCAAGCCCAAGATCTTCACTTTCTTTCCAAGGGGGAAAAATAAACAGAATCAAGGCAGATGTGTGTGTGTGTGTGTGTGTGTGTGTGTGTGTGTGTGTTGATGACACTCAGGCTAGAGAGAGTGACTGGACCTAAGACTGAATTTATCTCCAAATGTAGACCGACAAACTAAGTTAAACAAGAAGGATTATGAACACACAGTAAAAATGAAACCAGAGTAGGTTTAATCTTTTAAAATATATACATATATATTTACTGTCACTTTGAGAATTTGGTTTATTTGATAGCTTGGATAAATATTTATGTACTACATCATGCATTTGAATTTAATATAAAATCAGTTTAAAATATTCCCAATTGCAACATAGCTAACAAGCTGAATACTGAATAGGATTACTGTTGTAAGTCAGAGTGTTCTCCTGGTTTTACTTAGGTGAAACGATATTCTCATATGCATGCCCCTAACATCAAATATATCAACTTGTTATCAAAAGGCCAGTTTGGAAGACTTCCATTTTCAATTACTCCCTTATCTAGTCAAATAGAATTACAATGAATAAAAAAATTACAGCCAATGTAATTCCAAACATTAGAGGGTAGACAAGAAACAGTCTCTTGCTCTCAAAGAATAATGCCTTACCTGAATATGACGCTTTGTTATTTTTAACTTTCTTTAACACAAACAATCCCATTTTTGTTTCCTTTAATAAATACTCCATTTTATAAATAAGGAAACTGGATCAGCTACCTAAAATTACACAAGTAGGATGAGGTGGGCCTACGGCTAACATTAGATGTCTGGTCTACTTTCTAGTCTCTAGAAGTCTCTGGCACCAACTTCCTCTAGTATTTCCAGAATATGTTATTTGCAAATTATAAATTTTGTGGCAAATTAAGGCAATCATTTATTGTAAGGACTAAACTTTCATTAAAGCTACTTCACTATTCAAAACCAAGAGGCTATTTCTCTTACTGCAATAATAAAGTTTAGAAGTTCTGCTTTTGTTGCCTTTCTCTTCTGATAATTGGAAGAAAAGAGAATGGAAGGGAAGATAAAAATAAGACTGAGTGAAAACAGAAGAAACAAAAAGAAAGGAAGAAGAAGAAGGAGGAGGAGGAGAGGAAGGAAGGAAGGAGAGAGGGAGAGAGGGAGGGATGGAGGGAGGGAGGGAGGGAAGGAAGGGAAAGCAAAGGTGGGAAGAAAGGAAGGAATGATATTGTGAAATTATTCAGATTAATTGTTTTAGCTATATTAAATATAAATAATCCAGAAGATGGTAAATCTATCTTTTCTTCACTATTTAAGACAGAAGGCACCTAATGTGTAGCTGTTTTATAATTTCCACAAAACGATAAGCTAGTTCATAAGCAGGCTCTCTCAGCACCAATTCTCTTATATCACCTAGATATTATTTTCAGATGAAATCTAAGTACTTTATTTCATTATTTATAGGTTTAAAATATACTACATGTATGACATACAAATAAATGTTCTTTTTCAGTTCACTAATTCTACAATAAAAGCCTTTTGATTCTATTAGCCAAACATTCCTGAGCTGGAAGATAGAGGCCTTGGAAAACAGTACAAATGCTTGCTTATCAAATTAAATCTTGCTTATAAATTAAGAAGCGATTCAAACAGCAATTGTTTAACATGCATAGCTACTTCAATAGAAAGGGAGAGATGGTTTCTGGACTCTAAATTGAGTATAGTTTGAATTTGAGGAAACCTGATGTTAATAAGTAAAAGTTTTTACTATGCAGCATAATATGACTTTTACATAAACAATTACTTTGTAGCCTTTTGAAATTATACAATTGATAGCACAGAGGAATACTTCATTTTTAATAACTTAAAACTTTTATCCTATGAAATTTTCATAGCAGAGCTTATCATTACTCAGTAGCACTATTTGTAAAATGTATTGCTAAAGCCCTGCTCTTAGGGAAAATATATTCTAGTATCGTGGGGAAAAAAAAGAAAAAAGAGAGAAACAGAGTTAGAAGAATTTGATTATGTTAAAATTGTTTATTTAGCATATTGCCTAAAATTTCCCATGTATGAGAAAGTGTGATTTCCAATTATTGAATACATTTCTATGTTCCACAGCCATATAGAGATATAACTAAAGGTGGAAAAATATCACCAACAAGAAACAAAATATAAAACAATGTTCATGTAGGGATTATATTTTTAGGAAACTTCTTTATTCTTTTATTCAGCAAATATTTATTAAGCTGTTATTCCATTGAGGGCACTGTGTTTGTTTCCCTGGTGTGTAGCAATCCATCTCCGCATGGGGGTGGTCATGTGTTATGAGAAGAGTTTTGACTTTGGTATATGTAGACCAGGGATTAATTTTCGAATCCATCCCTTGTTAGTGGGCTAGCACTGCATTATCCTGAGATTGTTTCTTATCTGCAAAATAGAAGTACAACAGATGTGTCATGAGTTCATGAGCATTAATTGAGATATTGTCTATAAATCAAGTGGCAGAGCATCTGATTTAGAATTCAGTAGTTCTTGGAATTTTTGTGCTGAAAGAGGTAAAACCGAAGATATTTACATGCCAATAAAATCTCTTTCATAATGAGAAAAAACTTCATGTAAAAATATGTGCTGAAATCACTTCAGAATGATAAAATATTTTATAATGATAAATAAATAATAATGACATTTATTTTAGTTTCAAAATACTTAATTATTAGTTATTGATGATGGTTAATTTTATATGTTAACTTGACTGGACTAAGGGATGCCCAGATAGCTGGTTAAACATTATTTCTGAGTGTATTATTGAAGATGCTCCCATAAGAGATTAGCATTTGAATCAGTTAAACAAGTGAAAAAAAAAGTCTATCTTCACCAGTGTGAGTAGGCATCATCTAATCTATTGAGGGCCCCAATAGAACAAAAAGTGGAGGGAAGAAGGGTGAATTTTCTCTCTTCTTGAGCTGGGACATCCATCTTCTCATGCCCTTAGTTTTGGATCTTCTAGTTCTCTGCCTTTAGACCCTGGGACTCACATTATTAGCCCCCTGGTTCTCATGTCTTCAGACTCAAACTAAATTATACCACTGGCTTTCTTAGTCCTCTAGCTTGTAGACCAGATTGTCAACTGCTCAGCTACCATAATCTTATGAGCCATTTCCCAAAAAGTAGGAATATATATATATATATATATATATAAAAAACCTATAAATAAAGAATATACATATGTATATTCCTTATTTTTGGGAAATAAGGTACATGTATTAGTCTATTTCTTCAGAGAAACAGAACCAATAAGGAATTTATATATATATCATATATATTCCTTGTTTTTTATTTATATACATTATATATATATATATATATGGAATAATATTCATGATAGTTAATTTTATATGTTAACTTGACTGGACTAAAGGATGCCCAGATAGCTGGTTAAACTTATTATTAAAACATATATGTATCAACAAACATATATATTCCATATATATGGAATATATATTATAATATATGGAATATATATAAATAAGAACTAAAGAATATATATCTTATAAATAAATAAGGAATATATATATATTAATTATTGGTTCTGTTTCTGTGAAGAAACATACTAATACATGTACCTGACTAATATATTTACCTTAGGTTTAGAGAGTTTGAAAACATATATTCAAATATAAATAATATTAACTAAAGAAATAACTAGAAATCCATAACTAAAGTTAAGAAGTGACATGGCAAGCATTTTCAAAGTTTTATCATGTTCCCTGGGTGTCCCTCCTCAATTATACCAGCCTTATTCACCTTCAAAAGGAAACTACCATTCTGATTTGTGTGCTAATAAGCCCATTACATTTCTGTAGTTTTTGCTATGTATACTGGTGACTCTAAGGAATATATAATTAGGGTTTTCTATTTTCACATTTTTAAATTACAAGGTTATATTTTGTTTGGTTACATGATATATTCCTCCCAATATTATGTTTTGGGAATTAAATTAATCTAATTCATAATTGTAGTTAATTTATTCTGACTGCTGAGCACAATTGTTAATTCTACAACTGATCAGCATTTAAAATGTAAACTTTTCTTTTTTCTATTGCAAATGCTATTGCCTTGTAAATTGCCTTCTGCACATGTGCAAAATTTTCCACAATGTATACACCTAGGAATGAATTTTGCCCATTCGACTTTACTACACACTGGCAAGTTATCTTCCAAAGTGTTTGCAGCAATTTTCACCTCATGAGCAGTGGATGAATGTTGCCATTGTGCTGCATGGTTGTCAACACATTGTGTTTTAAAATGATATGTTATTGAAACATCAATATACACTTCCGGGGTTGCTAATAAATTTAAGCGTCTGTTCATGTATTCAAAGGTCATTCATCTACCTCCTCTATGAAATGCCTGTTTGCTTTTTGTTGTTGTTGTTCAATTTTAATTGGTTGTTTCCTTTTTTTCTTGTTGATTGATTGGTAGGATACTAATCCTTTGTTGGTTATATATGTTGTGAAATTTTTTCTCAGTTCTTAATTTGTACATTGTAGTCTCTATGATGTCTTTTGATGACCAAAAGTTCATAATTTTAATCAATAATATATTTTATGTAAAATATATTACACTCTATCGTAAGCATTTTCTGTTTCTTGCTTAATAAACTGTCTCCTTCCCTGAGGTCATAAATTGTCCTGTAATAATTATATAAGTCTCCATTCCCACTTACATTTTTATTCATCTACAGTTGATTCTTTAAATGATGTAGAGTTAATCTGACATTTTTTCTCAAGTGGTAAACAATGATCCCAGAACCATTTATGAAAAACCATACTACTCTCCATTGATATACATTGCCAACTATCAAAAATTAAGTTAAATTTTCATATATGCATGTGATCATTTCTGAACTGTCTGTTCTGTTGCATTTGTCTAGAATTCTATTCTTGAACCAATGTGGTATTATTAAAATTACTATAGCTTCACAGTAATTTTTATTATAGTTAAGAAAATATTCTTCTTCAGGACTAGTTTTGGCCCTTTATTCTCTCAAATAATTTTAAAAACTAGTTTGTAAAATTTTACAAAGATCCTGAGAGAATATTGATTAGAACTGATCCTTAGAAAAGTGGCATTTTTATTATAGTGAACGTTCCTAACTAAAGATGTAGACACCTATTCATATTCAGGTCTTGTATAACATCAAATCAATGTCAAAATATTTTTCACCAAGCTCTTGAACTATTTTCTTAGCTTTATTTATAGATAGCATTTGCTTTTTCCTCTTCCTATAAATAATAAATGTTTTATCTTAAATTACATTGTTTAGCCAATCATTACTTTTAGTTTACATATTGGTTTGGTATCCATTATCCTTGTTAAGGTCTTTTATTAATTCTACTATGCTATCTGTGGATTTTTAACTTCAATTTTATCATCTGCCATCATGACAGGTTTTTTTTTGCATTTTACTCACTATAGCTTATTTGTTGTTGCTGTTGCTGTCGTAACTGTGCTGCCAGGACCTTCAGTGCAATATTAAGGAAAAGGGGCAAGACTGTGAAAGTGGACATCCTTGCCTTGTCTCTGATATTAAAGAGAATAATTTCAACATTTCACCTTTATATGTAGCATGCGCTCTAGATTTTTTTTTTATGTGTCCTATGTCAGCTTAAGGAAGTTCCTATCCTTTTTTGATCTCTGTTTGTTTTTACTTCTTGAATGGACATTTTTAGAATGCCTAGCCCTTACAAATGATCAAAACAAAAAGTCTTACACTTTCTGGCTCCCAGTGATCTTCTCCATCTCCCTTTCCATCCCACTTCTACTCTACCACAGTCCCAGTCACACTGGACCCCTTTTTACTCCTCTAACACTCCAGTCATGCTTCTACCTCATGTTTTTGTTTGATGTATCCTCTACTCTTTCCCCAAAATATGTGCATGTGTTCCCTCTTCCTCCTTCACAGTCTTTGGGTTATTACTAGAAAGTCTCCTTCTTAAAAATGCATTCCAGGGATGCCCCACTTAAAATTGCAATTCTTACTCTCACTATGATACTTACTGTTTTCCTTCCTCACTTTATCTTGACATTGGAACTTATTTGTAGTATGCTATATGTATATTTTTTATCTTGTTAGTGTTTTATTAAGGAAAAATTTCTCTTTAAGTATGAATATCTGCTTTCACAAATAAATCAACTGAGAAACTGTTAGAGACAAATAGACTTGATTCTGTCTCCTCCATTAAATGCTTACTATCATTCTAGGTAAGCTGAGTGTTCTTTGTCAAAAGGGAAAATAGTTCGAGAAGCTTTCAGTAATATATAAATATATTTGCTGCAATTTATTCCATTGATCATGTCTTCTCTGACTAGGCACAAGGGCTAAGTTATGGTTATAGTTGTTGTTCATTTGTTTTTTATATTTTATCTATGAGATAATTATTGTCTCAATTACAGAAGAATACAGTTCCTTTCCTAGTTAAAAAAAAAAGTGACATATAGAGTAACAAAAACTTATTTTTTAACATGAAGCAGATTGACTAGAACTATGTTTCTATGGCTACTAAAATTATCCAACAACAAGAGATAAAATAACAGGCAGATTACTGAATATTATGGTCTCAGTATATTTTGTTTTCTTATGGGCATTTTACAAGTATTAACAATTGTCTTTTATTTAAACTAGAGAAAAAGTGAGTAAATTTTCACTTATTTATAGAATCACTGCATTGTGGTAGACAAAAGTAAGCTTGTTGACTTTGTCTGACATTGAGCTGTTGTTGGTAGTTTTACAAGAGGAGGAAGGATTAGGTAGATTATAAATGGAAAAAGGGCATTGTATTAGTTTGTTTTCATGCTACTGATGAAGACATACCGAAGACTGGGCAATTCACAAAAGGAAAAGGTTTAATGGACTTACAGTTCCATGTGGCTGGAAAGGCCCCACAATCATGGTGGAAGGTGAGAGACACGTCTCACACTGTGGCAGACAAGAGAAGAGAGCTTGCGCAGGGAAACTCCCATTTTTAAAACCGTCAGATCTTGAGACTTATTCACTGTCATGAGAACAGCATGGGAAAGATCGCCCCCACGATTCAATTACTTCCCACCAGGTTCCTCCCACAATACGTGGGAATTCTGGGAGTTACAATTAAAAATGAGATTTGGGTAGAGACACAGCCAAACCATATCATTCTGCCCCTGGCCCCGCCCAAATCTTATGTCCTCACACTTCAAAATCAATATTGCCTTCCCCACAGTCCCCCAAAGTCATGACTCATTTCAGTTCAAAGTCTCATCTGAGACAAGAAAAGTCCCTTCTGCCTATATGAGCCAGTTAGATCAAAAGAAAGTTAGTTACTTCCTAGATACAGTGGGAGTACAGGCATTGGGTAAATACAGCCATTCCAAATGGGAGAAATTGGCCAAAACAAAGGGGCTACAGGCCCCAGGCAAGTCCGAAATCCAGTAGGGCAGTCAAATCTTAAAACTCAAAAATGATCTCCTTTGAATCCATGTCTCACATCTGGGTCACGCTGATGCAAAAGATGGGTTGCTATGGTTTTGGGCAGCTCTGCCCTTGTGGCTCTTCAGGGTACTGACTCCCTCCTGGCTGCTTTCACAGGCTGATGTAGAGTGTCTGTGGCTTTTTCAGGCACACAGTGTAAACTGTCAGTGGATCTACCATTCTGGAGTCTGGAGGATGGTGGCCCTCTTCTTACAGCTCTACTAGGTGGTGCCCTAGTAGGGACTCTGTGTGGGGACTCCCACCCCACATTTCCCTTCTGTACTACCCTAGCAGAGGTTCTCCATGAGGACCCCACCCCTAAAGTAAACTTCTACCTGGGCACCCAGGCATTTCCATACACCCTCTGATATCTAGGCGGAGGTTCCTAAAACCCAATTCTTGACTTCTGTGCACTCTCAGGCTCAACACCACATGGAAGCTGCCAAGGTCTGAGGCTTGCGCCCTCTGAAGCCACAGCCCAAGCTCTATGTTCGCCCCTTTCAGCCAGGGCTGGAGTGGCTGGGACATGGGGCACAAAGTCCCTTGGCTGCACACAGCATGGGGACCCTGGGCCCAGCCCAGAAAACCACTTTTTCCTCATGGCCTGTGATGAGTGGGACTACTGTGAAGACCTCTGACAAGCCCTGAGGACATTTTTCCCCATTGTCTTGGGGATTTACATTTGGCTCCTAATTACTCCTGCAAGTACCTGCAGCCAGCTTGAATTTTTCCTCAGAAAATGAGATTTTCTTTTCTATTGCATTGTCAGGCTGCAAATTTTCCAAACTTGCGTGCTCTGTTTCCCTTTTAAAACTGAATGGCTTTAACAGCACCCAAGTCACCTCTTGAATGCTTCACTGCTTAGAAATACCCTTAATCATCTCTCCCAAGTTCAAAGTTCCACAGATCTCTAGGATGGGGCAAATGCCACCAGTCTCTTTGCTAAAATATAGCAAGAGTCGGCTGGGCGTGGTGGCTCACAGCTGTAATCCCAGCACTTTGGGAGGCCGAGGCAGGTGGATCACCTGGGGTCAGGAGTTTGAGACCAGCGTGGCCAACATGGTGAAACCCCATCTCTACTAAAAATTCAAAAATTTGCTGGGCATGGTGACACACATCTGTAATCCCAGCTACTTGGGAGGCTGACGCAGGAGAATAGCTTGAACCCAGGAGGCAGAGGTTGTAGTGAGCTGAGATTGTGCCTCTGTGTGTCTCCAGCCTAGATGACAGAGTGAGACTCTGTCTCAAAGAAAAAAAAAAAAAAGAAAAATAGTAAGTCACCTTTACTCCAATTCCCAACAAGTTCCTCATCTCCATCTGAGACCATCTCAGCCTGGATTTCATTGTCTGTATTGCTATCAGCACTTTGGCCAAAGCCATTCAACAAGTCTCTAGGAAGTTCCAAACTTTCCCACATTTCTCTGTCTTATTCTGAGATCGCTAAACTGTTCCAACCTCTGCCTGTTACTCAGTTCCAAAGTTGCTTCCACATTTTCAGGTACCTTTTCAGCAGCGCCCCACTCTACTGGTACCAATTTACTGTATTAGTTCATTCTCATGCTACTGATAAAGACATACCCAAGACTGGGCAATTCACAAAAGGAAAAGGTTTAATAGACGTAAAGTTTCACATGGCTGGGAAGGCCTCACAATTGTGGTGGAAGGTGAAAGATGTGCCTCACATGGTGGAAGACAAGAGAAGAGAGCTTGTGCAGGGAAACTCCCATTTTTAAAACTATCAGATCTTGTGAGACTCATTCACTATCACAAGAACAGCATGGGAAAGACCTACCTCCATGATTCAATTACCTCCCACAAGGTTCCTCCCGTGACTCGTGGCAATTCTGAGAGTTACAATTCAAGATGAGATTTGGGTAGGGACACAGGTAAACCATATCAGGCAGACTGTGGCCAATACTGCAGATTAGCTTTTCAAGTCCCTTCCAATCCACTCTATTGGGGAAGCTGAAAAACTTAAAGCTTCTCACCGTGGGGTGGGGGGACTAGGATGAGACAAGTGAGGTGTCTAGGCCCCAAAATTTAAGGAGGCATTCAACTTCAAGCTTATGCAAGTACGGGACTGGCATGTGAGAATGAGTGCCTCCTTAAACTTTGTGCCCTGGATATCTTTCTTGCCTTGCACTAGTCCCAGTCTTGCTTCTCAGGTTCCCTGTAAGCTTATCTCCATATGTGACCCAGCTTCTGCTAAGACAGTGCACCTTTGGAGATTTAGAAGTAAGAAGTGATGCAGGATCCCTGCGGCTGGGAATTTTTTTGTTACTACTGGAAAGCAAGGATGAGAAATTTGGTGTTTGGGTTTTATTAGCATCATCAGAGGTTTCAGTAATTGGTCCCCACGTATGTAGGCATTGAAAGGAGAATTCAAGGAAGGACATTCATTTGCTGGCATGAAACAAAGATGTGCTGAGTAGTGGGGTCTTAGAGCTAAGAGTTTGATGGCAACATCTTGATCTTCAGACTTCAGCAGAGCTGGGATGATCCTGGAACCAGGAACTAAAGAAGCAGCTCCTGACTCCAGAAGCTTCCTGATCAGACAGGCAGCAACTCCCTTAGTGGCCTTTCTATGTTGGTGTTCAGGAATTAATCTTAGATGCTTAACCTCCAGCTGCCCTTTTGATGTGCCAACAGTTTTCTTAGCACATTATTTCCTTTTTGCCTTTCTGATACCTGTGACATGAGCCTTGACTGATACAAACAGAGAATGAATGGTTTTCTCTATTTCTCTAAAGACTGAAATAAGGAGTTTTCTGGCATATCACCAGGATTGACTAGAAACAAATGAGTCCCCAGAAAATATTTGTTTAATACATATTTCTTTTTACATATATACATATGTTTATATACATATATTTTTTTAATATTCACCATATTAAACATATGGATGCTAGTTTAGACTGATAAAGAGAAAATTCACTTTGTGCCATGCAAATAAATCAATCAACAATTCTGTGATTGTGATTAGACTCTGCTCTAGAGTCTGGGAGATGAGAAACACAAAAAATATATGATATAAGTTCTTCTTTAAAAAACATATAACTGGCCGGGCGCGGTGGCTCACACCTGTAATCCCAACACTTTGGGAGGCTGAGGCGGGCAGATCACGAGGTCAGGAGATCAAGACCATCCTGGCTAACATGGTGAAACCCCATCTCTACTAAAAGTACAAAACAAAATTAGCCGGGCATGGTGGCAGGGGCCTGTAGTCCCAGTTACTCAGGAGGCTGAGGCAGGAGAATGGCGTGAACCTGGGAGAAGGAGCTTGCAGTGAGCTGAGATTGCACCACTGCACTCCAGCCTGGGTGACAGAGTGAGACTCCGTCTCAAAAAAAAAGAAAAGAAAAACATGTAACTATAATCATTTATCATTTTAATGAAAATAAAGAACTTGAAGTTATGAAAATAAGATTGCTCTCCAAGAAGGCAAGAAGTTTCTGTAACAGCCAATATATAATGATTCAGGGCATTCATATTCAAAGTTATCTAACTGAATATATGAGTGATTACAAAGAAAGAGTCTATCAATGAAAGGGGTGAGGGACTGGTCTGCCACAGAATAATGATACAAGAAGAGTCACAAAGGCAAGACTGTTGTCTCCACTGAAGTACTGGCCAGAATAGAGGAGCCATAGTCACGGGTCTTGAGTAGCTCCAGTTTCTACTGCATTGGAAAGAGCATTCCCATTACACAAACGTGACAAATTATTATAGCTTTATACCACTACACTTCCGGTTTCTCCAATGCCCTTTATTCTATTTTTTTTGCCCCAAGTGATAGTTTAATTATGTTTTGGAGGAAGTATACTGATCATTTTCATCCACTTTCTGTTTTGTTGCAGTAGTTATACGTCTCATAAACTGTGATATTGCTATTCTTTCTTCATTCATCACTCTTCGATTCACTTTATGGGTATCTGTGGCTACAAAATATATTCCTTCTTGATATCTTCATAAAATTAAGTTTGAAGACTAAAAACTGAAGGCCTGGACTCTGGAAAATTTACCAGTACTAACCCATGATGCCTCTTCTCAGAAAACGAATGCATCCTTCCACAGGAAACAGGCACAAACCAGACACTGAAAGACAGCAAGTACAATGTACTTTCCTAGAAGCATAAGAGAATGACTCTTATAGGTCCTATGCTACTTACTGACCCATTTCATCTGAACTTCTAAAGTTTCTAAAGCTATGCCCAAATTTTCTTTTCCTGTACAGGTATATTGAAATCTAATCCAAATAATGCATATATACTAAAATAGAATATCCATGTCATATAATTTTAAATGGCAGCAAATGTTTTCTATATGATTTATTATTCTAGATGATCTCTAAAATAATTTTCAACTATACAAATCTAGAGTATCTAACATGTTCACCATCTCTTTAGGTTCCTGAGTGCTTCCAATATGGTGGCTTTAATGTTAAATTATGAATGCTTAAAAATCAAATTTAATCTAAACTCCAAAATGCTTATACTTCTTTTTCGTCATGTAGGCTTCAGTGAATAGTAAATGATTTACAAATGTTTCTTGATAATGATGAAACAAGTTTATTTTAACTAGACTATGCTAATAAATGAATTATACCTTTTATAATTTTTTTCTATAGCCAAATTTGAGAAAATGAGTAATATATTTGCCACTTAATCCCTTTATCTCTTTTATAAAAATAGTCAGGATAATTTAGATTCAATTTTGTACCAAGAGAAGGGGATTGTGACTTGGGATTTGTGGACCCTTTACCAGCCCTCCAAAGTATATCTAATCCCAGACTATTTATAAGCCACAAAATATCATCCCCAAATTTTTGATACAATAATAATATCTCATAACTCATTTCTAGTGCTTTGCATTTTTAAAGGTGCTTTTGCAGCTATCATCTATTAACTTTAGCTTGTAAGCAAACTTGTTCTGTAGGCTGGACAAGTGTAATTTACTATTCCTATCATGTAGTTGTAGAAAATGGGACTTACAGGGTGTTGTACTGGGTTCCTACTCACCTGGTTACTTAGTAGTAGATCGAAGTCTGAATTGAAGTGTTTTTCTCCTTCCTTAAATCAACTGTATTAAGGTATAATTTACAAACAATGCAATTCACTCATTTAAAATATAAATTTGGTGTTTGAAAATTTTATATATCCATGAAACCACTATCACAATAAGGATTTACAACACCTACATCAACTAAACCAATTCTCTTGTGCCATTTTGCAACAAATCCCTCACCACCACCACACATGGCCCTAGGCAATCATTGACAGGTTTCTCTCCATAGAGATTGGTTTTACCTCTTCTAAAATGTCATATAAATGAAATAGTGCAGTGTGTGCATTTTTGTGTCTGGCTTATTTTGCTAAACATGTATTTGAGATTCACTCAAGTTGCTGTGTGTGTCATTATGGACTAAGCCCTTTGAATCCTGCAAATGGTTATTTCTAAGAGACAGTGTTCTAATGCTCCCTTCTTTCCATTCCAGCTTTAAATAGCCCTATATTTTCATTCCACTGGACTATTAAAAGTCTCTTAACTAATATGCTCATTTTGAGTCTCCATCCTATCTATCGTACTGTTAAAGAGTGCTGTTTCAAATATACAGCTTTGTCAACCCATTGCCTAACATCACTTCTCCTAAAGCAGTAGTTCTCCAAGTGCTCCACAGAATGTCATGGGGTGGCAAGAGCAAGATGGGTAAGCTCTGCTTCTGGATCCACCTTTGTGCCTTCAGTTGGAGCAAACCAATGTCTTATCCAGTTGTATATCAGACTTCCATGAAAATTTTTAATTGTAGAAAAATTTATTTCCTTTAAACATTTGTAGCTAATCTATGGAACACATCTATTCTCTGGCGACTGGCTGCCCCTCCAATTTGTGTTTCATACAGAACCCCCTCTTCAGTCATTTTTCTACCATCACAGATATAAATCCCACATAGCCATGCACCACACCCTTAAATCACCAGGCTCTTTCACTGGCAAGTCCTTTGCTCCAACTGCTCCATTTTCCTGGAGTAGTTTTCTAACCCCCACTTTTATTTATCTAGCAAGCACATACTCATGGCTTAAGACTTTAAGCTATAGGTACAACTTATTTATGAAGTTTCCCATACTTCATCCCCTAATATGTAGTAATAACAGCTTCTTACTTATAACCACAGTTTCCTAAACATATTAACACTGTACTGGGAAAATACTTTTTTATATCCATGCCCATTTTTTAGTAATTATATACATTTATATGATTATCTTGAAAGTAACCACTGTACATAACACTGACACTAACCAATGGCCACAGCTAATTTATATGGAGTAATTCATGACTCAACTCAGGCCAGTGAGAGACTCTCCCCACTTGCTGCCATCTAGACACATCCATGGTTCAGGATGGGCATGTGATACAGAATAGGTCACTCAGAGGTCATAAGTTTTCATTTTTGCTTAGGCTAGTTCCAGTTAAACTTTTGTTACTTGTGACTGAAAACACTCCTAAAAGTTTTTAACACCGAAGTGCATTTATTTGTTTTTTCTAATTTGCATTTTATCTTTCTTTTTTTGTTATTATACTTTAAGTTCTAGGGTACATGTGCACAACGTGCAGGTTTGTTACATTGTATACATGTGTCATGTTGGTGTGCTGCACCCATTAACTCACCATTTACATTAGGTATTCCTCCTAATGTTATCCCTCCCCACTCCCGCAACCCCACAACAGGCCCCAGTGTGTGATGTTCCCCACCTTGTGTCCAAGTGTTCTCATTGTTCAATTCCCACCTATGAGTGAGAACATGCGGTGTTTGATTTTTTTGTCCTTGTGATAGTTTGCTGAGAATGATGGTTTCCAGCTTCATCCATGTCCCTAAAAAGGACATGAACTCGTCCTTTTTTATGGCTGCATAGTATTCCATGTTGTATATGTGCCACATTTTCTTAATCCAGTCTATTATTGATGAACATTTGGGTTGGTTCCAAGTCTTTGCTATTGTGAATACTGCTGCAATAAACATACATGTGCATGTGTCTTATAAAAGCATGATTTATAATCCTTTGAGTATATACCAAGTAATGAGATCTCTGGGTCAAATGGTATTTCTAGTTCTAGATCCTTGAGTAATTGCCACACTGACTTCCACAATGGTTGAACTAGTTTACACTCCCACCAAAAGTGTAAAAGTGTTCCTATTTCTTCACATCCTCTCCAGCAGCTGTCGTTTCCTAACTTTTTAATGATTGCCATTCTAACTGGGTGAGATGGTATCTCATTGTGGTTTTGATTTGCATTTCTCTAATGACCGGTGATGATGAGCTTTCTTTCATGTGTCTTTTGGCTGCATAAATGTCTTCTTTTGAGAAGTGTTTGTTCATATACTTTGCCCACTTTTTGATAAGGTTGTTTCCTTTTTTCTTGCAAATTTGTTTAAGTTCTTTGTAGATTCTAGATATTAGCACTTTGTCAAATGGGTAGATTGCAAAAATTTTCTCCCATTCTGTAGGTTGCCTGTTCACTCTGATTATAGTTTCTTTTGCTGTGCAGAAGCTCTTTAGTTTAATTAGATCCCATTTGTCTATTCTGGCTTTTGTTGCCATTGCTTTTGGTGTTTTAGTCATGAAGTTCTTGCCCATGCCTATGTCTGGAATGGTATTGCCTAGGTTTTCTGCCAGACTTTTTATGGTTTTAGGTCTACCATTTAATTCTTTAATCCATCTTGACTTAATTTTTGTATAAGGTGTAAGGAAGGGATCCAGTTTCAGCTTTCTACATATGGCTAGCCAGTTTTCCCAGCACCATTTATTAAATAGGGGATCATTTCCCCATTTCTTGTTTTTGTCAGGTTTGTCAAGGATCAGATGGTTGTAGATGTGTGGTATAATTTCTGAGGGCTCTGTTATGTTCCACTGGTCTATATCTCTTTTTTGGTACCATACCATGCTGTTTTGGTTACTGTAGCCCTGTAGTATAGCTTGAAGTCAGGTAGCGTGATGCCTCCAGCTTTGTTCTTTTGGCTTAGGATTCTCTTGGCAATGCAGGCTTTTTTTTGATTCCATATGAACTTTAAGGTAGCTTTTTCCAATTCTGTGAAGAAAGTCATTGGTAGCTTGATGGGGATGGCATTAAATCTATAAATTACTTTGGTCACTATGGCCATTTTCACGATATTGATTCTTCCTATCCATGAGCATGGAATGTTTTTCCATTTGTTTGTGTCCTCTTTTATTTCACTGAGCAGTGGTTTGTAGTTCTCCTTGAAGAGGTCCTTCACATCCCTTGTAAGTTGGATTCCTAGGTATTTTATTCTCTTTGAAGCAGTTGTGAATGGGAGTTCACTCTTGATTTGGCTCTCTGTTTCTCTGTTGTTGGTGTATAGGAATGCTTGTGATTTTTGCACATTGATTTTGTATCCTGAGACTTTGCTGAAGTTGCTTATCAGCTTAAGGAGATTTTGGGCTGAGATGATAGGGTGTTCTAAATATACAATCATGTCATCTTCAAACAGGGACAATTTGACTTCCTCTTTTCCTAACTGAATGCCCTTTATTTCTTTCTCTTGCCTGATTGCCCTGGCCAGAATTTCCAACACTATGGTGAATAGGAATGGTGAGGGGGGCATCCCTGTCTCGTGCCAGTTTTCAAAGAGAATGCTTCCAGTTTTTGCCCATTCAGTATGATATTGGCTGTGGGTTTGTCATAAATAGCTCTTATTATTTTGAGATATGTCCCATCAATTGTTTATTGAGAGTTTTTAGCATGAAGGGCTGTTGAATTTTTTTGAAGGCCTTTTCTGCATCTATTGAGATAATCATGTGGTTTTTGTCTTTGGTTCTGTTTATATGATGGATTATGTTTACTGATTTGCATATGTTGAACCAGCCTTGCGTCCCAGGGATGAAGCCAACTTGATCATGGTGGATAAGCTCTTTGATGTGCTGCTGGATTCGGTTTGCCAGTATTTTGTTGAGGATTTTTGCATTGATGTTCATCAGGGATGTTGGTCTAAAATTAGCTTTTATTGTTGTTTCTCTGCCCGGCTTTGGTATCAGGATGATGCTGGCCTCATAAAATGAGTTAGGGAGGATTCCCTCTTTTTCTATTGATTGGAATAGTTTCAGAAGGAATGGTACCAGTGCCTCTTTTTACCTCTGGTAGAATTCGGCTGTGAATCCGTCTGGTCCTGGACTTTTTTTGGTTGGTAAGATATTAATTATTGCCTCAATTTCAGAGCCTGTTATCGGTCTATTCAGGGATTCAACTTCTTCCTGGTTAAGTCTTGGGAGGATGTATGTGTCGAGGAATTTATCCATTTCATCTAGATTTTCTAGTTTATTTGCATAGAGGTGTTTATAGTATTCTCTGACGGTAATTTGTATTTCTGTGGGAATGGTGGTAATATCCCCTTTATAATTTTTTATTACATCCATTTGATTCTTCTCTCTTTTCTTCTTATTAGTCTTGCTAGCGGCGGTCTATCAATTTTGTTGGTCTTTTCAAAAGACTAGCTCCTGGATTCATTGAGTTTTTGAAGGTTTTTTTGTGTCTCTTGTCTCCTTCAGTTCTGCTCTGATCTTAGTTATTTCTTGCCTTCTGCTAGCTTTTGAATGTGTTTGCTCTTGCTTTTCTAGTTCTTTTAATTTTGATGTTAGGGTGGCGATTTTAGATCTTTCCTGCTTTCTCTTGTGGACATTTAGTGCTATAAATTTCCCTCTACACACGGCTTTAAATGTGTCCCAGAGATTCTGGTATGTTGTGTCTTTGTTCTCATTGGTTTCAAAGAACATCTCTATTTCTGCCTTCATTTCGTTATGTTCCCAGTAGTCATTCAGGAGCAGGTTGCTCAGTTTCCATGTAGTTGTGCAGTTTTGAGTGAGTTTCTTAATCCTGAGTTCTAATTTGATTGCACTATGGTCTGAGAGACAGTTTGTTATAATTTCTTTTACATTTGCTGAGGAGTGCTTTATTTCCAACTATGTGGTCAATTTTGGAATAAGTGTGATGTGGTGCTGAGAAGAATGTATTCTGTTGATCTGGGGTGGTGAGTTCTGTAGATGTCTATTAGGTCCGCTTGGTTCAGAGCTGAGTTCAAGTCCTAGATATCCTTGTTATCTTTGTCTCCTTGATCTGTCTAATGTTGACAGAGGGGTGTTAAAGTCTCCCATTATTATCGTGTGGGAGTCTAAGTCTCTTTGTAGGTCTCTAAGGACTTGCTTTATGAATCTGGGCACTCCTGTAGTGAGTGCATATATATTTAAGATAGTTAGCTCTTCTTATTGAATTGATCCCTTTGCCATTATTTAATGGCCTTCTTTGTCTCTTTTGATCTTTGTTGGTTTAAAGTCTGTTTTATCAGAGATGAGGATTGCAACCCCTGCTTTTTTTGTTTTCCATTTGCTTGTATATCTTCCTCCATCCCTTTATTCTGAGCCTATGTGTGTCTCTGCACGTGAGATGGGTCTCCTGAATACAGCATACTGATGGGTCTTGACTCTTTATCCAATTTGCCAGTCTTTGTCTTTTCATTGGGGCATTTAACCCATTTACATTTAAGGTTAACATTGTTATGTGTGAATTTGATCCTGTCATTATGATGTTAGCTGGTTATTTTGCTTGGTAGTTGATGCAGTTTCTTCCTAGCATTGATGGTCTTTACAATTTGGCATGCTTTTGCAGTGGCTGGTACCGGTTTTTCCTTTCCGTGTTTAGTGCTTCCTTCAGTAGCTCTTGCAAGGCAGGCCTGATGATGATAAAATCTCTCAGCATTTGCTTGTCTATAAAGGATTTTATTTCTCCTTCACTTATGAAGCTTAGTTTGGCTGGATATGAAATTCTGGTTTGAAAATTCTTTTCTTTAAGAATGTTGAATATTGGCCCCCACTCTCTTCTGCCTTGTAGAGTTTCTGCTGAGAGATCTGCTGTTAGTCTGATGGGCTTCCCTTTGTGGGTAACCTGACCTTTCTCTCTGGCTGCCCTTAACATTTTTTCCTTCATTTCAACCTTGGTGAATCTGACAATTATGTGTCTTGGAGTTGTTCTTCTCGAGGAGTATCTTTGTGGTGTTCTCTGTATTTCCTGAATTTGAATGTTGGCCTGCCTTGCTAGGTTGGGGAAGTTCTCCTGGCTAATATCCTGCAGAGTGTTTTCCAACTTGGTTCCATTCTCCCCGTCACTTTCAGGTACACCAATCAAACATAGATTTTGTCTTTTCACATAGTCCCACATTTCTTGAAGGCTTTGTTCGTTTCTTTTTTCTCTTTTTCCTCTGAACTTCTCTTCTCACTTTAATTCATTTGATCGTCAATCATGATACCCTTTCTTCCACTTGATCTAATCATCTACTGAAGCTTGTGCATTGATCACATAGTTCTTGTGCCATGGTTTTCAGCTCCATCAGGTCATTTAAGGTCTTCTCTACTCTGTTTATTCTAGTAAGCCATTCATCTAATCTTTTTTCAAGTTGTTTAGCTTCTTTGTGATGGGTTTGAGCATCCCCCTTTAGCTCAGAGAAGTTTGTTATTACCGATCTTCTGAAGCCTACTTCTGTCAACTCATCAAAGTCATTCTCCATCCAGCTTTGTTCCATTACGGGTGAGGAGCTACGATCCTTTGGAGGAGAAGAGGCACTCTGATTTTTAGAATTTTCAGCTTTTCTGCTCTGGTTTCGCCCCATCTTTGTGGTTTTATCTACCTTCGGTCTTTGATGATGGTGACCTACAGATGGGGTTTTGGTGTGGATGTCCTTTTTGTTGCTGTTGATGCTATTCCTTTCTGTTTGTTAGTTTTCTTTCTAATAGTCAGGACCCTCAGCTGCAGGTCTGTTGGAGTATGCTGGAGGTCCACTCCAGACCCTGTTTGCCTAGGTATCACCAGCAGAGGCTGCAGAACAGAAATATTGCAGAACAGCAAATGTTGCTCCCTGATCCTTCCTCTGGAAGCTTCGTCTCAAAGGGGCACCTGAATGTATGAGGTGTCAGTCGGCCCCTACTGGGAGGTGTCTCCTGGTTAGGCTACTCGGGGGTCAGGGACCCACTTGAGGAGGCAGTCTGTCCATTCTCAGATCTCAAACTCCATGCTGGGAGAACAACTGCTCTCTTCAAAGCTGTCAGACAGGGCGGTTTAAGTCTGCAGAAGTTTCTGGTGCCTTTTGTTCAGCTATGCCCTGCCCCCAAAGGTGGAGTCTACAGAGGCAGGCAGGCCTCATTGAGCTGCAGTGGGCTCCACCCAGTTTGAGCTTCCTGGCCGCTTTGTTTATTTAGTCAAGCCTCAGCAATAGCAGACGCCCCTCCCCCAGCCTCGCTGCCACCTCACAGTTCCATCTCGGACTGCTGTGCTAGCAGTGAGCAAGGCTCCATGGGTGTGAGACCCCCTGAGCCATGCACGGGATATAATCTCCTGGTGTGTCGCTTGCTAAGACCATTGGAAAAGCACCATATTAGGGTGGGAGTGTCCCCATTTTCCAGGTACCATCTGTCATGGCTTCCCTTGGCTAGGAAAGGGAATCCCCTGACCCCTTGCACTTCCCGGGTGAAGCAATACCCTGCCCTGCTTCGGCTCACACTCCGTGGGCTGCACCCACTGTCCAACAAGTCCCAGTGAGATGAACCCGGTACCTCAGTTGGAAATGCAGAAATCACCTGTCTTCTGCATTGCTCACACTGGGAGCTGTAGACTGGAGCTGTTCCTATTCGGCCATCTTGGAACAATCTCCTATCTTTCTCTTTTTAATTATAATTTTTTTTTTTTTTTTTTTTTTTTTTTTTTACAAAAGACAGGGCCTTCCTCTGTCACCCAGGCTACAATGCAATGGTGTGATCATATGCAGTCTCAAATGTCTAGGCTCAAGTGATCTTCTTACCTCAGTCTCCAAAGTGGATGGGACTACAGGCATATTCCACCATGCATGGCTTATTTTTAAACAATTTTTGTAGAGATGGGGTTGCACTACATTGCCCAGGCTGGTCTTGAAACTCCTGGCCTCAAACAATCCTCTCACCTCAACCTCTTAAAATGTTGAGATTACAGGCATGAGACAGCACACCTGGCCCTAGATTTGCATTTTATCTTGACTGCCTTCTTGGTCTTTATATATCTAACACCTAGCCCAATGCCTTCTACAAAATGGATATTTAATACATACTCAAGGAGTGAATGTACAAATGGGTGAGTGAAAAAAATATGCCTGTAGAACATAATCATTGAGAACTTATAGCAGTGAATTTATTTAGTAATTAAAATTAAAGGCAACTATACATAAAATATGCAGAAAAACTGATGGAATTTAACATAATGAATATGATAGAATAAAGGCATAAACCCAAGTGGATAGAGAAGGATTAAATCAGAGAACAAGGTTAAGTAACTTGAAATTTCAGACTGCCATAAGGATCTGATAATTTTGAGTCTTGTAGGGTACCTTCTTTAATAAACTTTTTTTTATACACAGTCTTCCCTTGGTATCCATGGAGAATTGGTTCTAGGACTCGTCTATGGATACCAACATTTGATTGATATTCAAGTCCCTCATATATTAATAAAATGATGCAGTATTTGCACATAACCTAAACACATCTTTCCTATTACCTAAATTATCTCTAGATTGTGTGTAATACCTAACACAATGCCTACACATCACTTCATTCACGTGGGATTAATGTAGCACTCAGGGCACAGCAAATTCATATTTTGCTTTTTGAAACTTTGTAGAAATTTTTTCCCTGAATATGTTCTATCAGAGTTGGCTGAATCCACATATGTGTAACTCACAGATACAGAGGGCCAATAGAGACCAACAATATATACAATTGCTAATAGTGATCTCCAGGAGCCCCAAAAAGCATGAACCAAAATTGCAGAAGTAAGCATTTTCACAGATGAGCAGATAAGAGTGAAAGTCACAGTATTGGCCTTTGCTTTTTAACATAAATAAATGAGGTTTGTGTATTCATTCTTCCATGGATAATATATAATAGAACCTGATTAATATCTCATGTCATCTTCAATTTAAGGTGAAATAATAAAGATCATTTGACCTCTAGACTTTCTTTAAATGTCATTAAAGCATTCATATAAATAATGATATGGAGAATGCATTTTCTTTATTTTACCACAGAATTTGATTTAGTGCGTAAGGAGTACCAGGCATTTGTTATACAAAATCAGTACAACAAAGACCATATCCTAGAATGCATTACAATACTATAGGGGAAATCAACAGAAAATGAAATTATAAGACAAAATGATAAAGTGCTGTAAAAGGGTATGAATAAAGCACAGCAGAGGTAACCTTAAAATTCACCAAACAAAATTCTCAAAGATCTTAGTAAAGAGATTGAAGGATATGATCTTTTCTGAAAGTGAGTGTTTTAACAACTATTTGCATCTCTTTAGCTGAGTGTAGCAAATTTGATTGGCTGTATCTTCCCCGCTTCCTCATATTTCATTGAGTGTCATATTTACTAAAGTGTTCTGGGGAGAAAGGGCAATTCACTAAATAGAATAGAATCAGAATGGGAGAATGATTTGGGCCCTATTATTTGTTACCATCATAAATATTTATTGCATATTCTTGTGCTTGATCATCTACAAGGTGCTAATTCTTATGAGCTTAAAAACCAAGGATAATTAATGAATTACCTCCATACATATATGAGATACATTTAATAATTATGCACAGGTAGGAGTGACCTTATGAAAGATGGGGATGGGCAGCTCTTTATTTGATTTGAGAAATACAGGGTCTTACCTGCAAAAGGGGTTAAACATATTAAAGTTTGATTTGGCAGTGAATTCGTTTCTTGTGACTGAAAACACTCCTAAAAGTTTTTAACACCAAAGTGCACTTATTTTTTTTTCAAATTTGCATTTTATTTTTTTCCTTTTAATTAAAAAAAAATTTTTTTTTTTAAAAAAGGACAAGGTCTTCCTCTGTCACCCAGGCTATACTGCAGTATATTTAACCCATAAATGGGTTAAGAATATTACCTTCCCACAGGGCTGCATTTGAATACATTTCTTTTGATGCAACCCGTATTTTTTGTTTAAGCTATTTCCTTTAGAAAGTCACTTATATTCTGCATATGAATTTACTGGAAAAAGAAGGCTCATTGGAATGCTGGCAATGGCTAATGTGCTCATGTGTCAATTAGTGCCCTGTCCTAAGAACAATATGAGGAGATAGGATACAAAATTGTTAAGTCTTTCAGGAACAGAGGGAAACTAAAAGCATCTTGAGGATGAGAAGACTTTTTTAAAAAACAGATCCAGAAAACAACAACAACAACTACAGTTGGACGAAAAGAAGGAAATGAAGCTCAGAAAATACAGAGAAGCACAAACCATTCCAACATGGAGAAACCCCATCTCTACTAAAAAATACAAAATTAGCTGGGTGTGGTGGCGCATGTCTGTAATCCCAGCTACTCGGGAGGCTGAGACAGGAGAAATGCTTGAACCCAGGAGGTGGAGGTTGCGGTCAGCCGAGATCACGCCATTGCACTCCAGCCTGGGCAAAAAGAGTGAAACTCCGTCTCAACAACAACAATAACAACAAAACACGCTGCTTCACACTTTATATTGTATGTTATCCTTGTAACCAATGTGATTTATATATCTTTAGTACAGTGTGTGTACATGCGTGTGCGTGTGTGTCCTATTTTAAGTAACCTACACGTTTATACAAGGGATTGCTATTGAACACCTACATGTGCCAGAATATTGTGGGAATTGGAGATGTAATAGTAAGTAAGAACCCAGATTTCTACATCTTAAAGAGCTTACAGTATAGTGGAAGACACGGGCACATTTAGTGAAATACGCTGTATGATAGGAGATATACTGGAAATATGGGAGCATTGAGAGGAAGTTATGTCTGATGTGAAAGGTTAAGAATGGCTTCCAAAACCAGGGATTTCTGAGATGAGATATGCAGTATGGGCACAAACGTGCCAGGTGAGCCAGGAGAGGTAAGAGGTGAGAAGGCAGAGAGGGCAGCATGTGCAAATATCTAGCAAGAGGAAAGATAATACCCAATTCAGGGATCTAGGAAACATTTGCTCTTCTAAAGTTTAGAGGATGAAGGGGGAATGTTGAAAGATAACAGCAGGAAAGTGTATTAGAATTCTTTTGGAGCAAGACACAAAAACAGATAGCTCCCAGCTTAAGTAAAGTAAGAATATATTACAAACCTAATACGATACATATCTCATAAATCCAACTCTCAGGAATCTCTTTGGCTTCAATAAAGAAAGGAATTGAGAACTTAAATGGTATCAAGATTGCCTCTGCATCATTCCTCTCTGCTCCACTGCCTGGGTTGGCTCCATTCTCCATGCTCACTGCTGACAGGCTGTCTCTACTCAGTAGATAGATAATTTCATCCTCCTTACTTCTTATAGTGGATACCCAGGAAATTATTTGTTTAGTGCCTTGTCTTATACTGAAAGACCTCCTTATACACCCATCCTTGTGGATTCCAGTAGCAATTTTGTACCTAATTGATTGATACAAAAATGGGCATTAGGCCCAAGATGATACAATAAGAATATTTCCCCTGGCTAGCCTCTTTAATGGAGACATTTTAGGTTTGGTTTATATAGGACCAACATATCACCATAAGGCTCATATGAGGAGTTATTTAGAATTAGGTAAGGGGCTAAGCAAATGCCTCTGCAGGTATTCACAACAATATAATAAATGGGATTGAGAAATTTGGACTAGAATATATTAAAAATGGGTTCATCAAACTGCTGAAATTTTTTGCTTTTTTTTTTTTTTTTTTTTTAGATGGAGTCTTGCTCTGTCGCCCAGGCTGGAGTGCAGTGGCATGATCTCGGCTCACTGCAACCTCCGCCTCCCGGGTTCAAGCAATTCTTCTGCCTCAGCCTCCCAAGTAGCTGGGGTTACAGGTGCCTGCCACCATACCTCGCTAATGTTTGTATTTTTTTACTAAAGACGGGGTTTCACCATGTTGGCCAGGCTGGTCTCGAACTCCTGACCTTGTGATCCGCCTGCCTTGGCCTCCCAAAGTGCTGGGATTATATGTATGAGCCACTGCACCTGGCCTTTTTTGCTTTATTAAAATAAAAATTGTTTGAACTAGTGTGCTTTTCTTGTATATTTAACATTTGCTAAATTTTCATTTGCTTGCAACTTATTAGGAGCAAATTCACTGCAAAAACAAAGTGAATTTCTTGTGTGGTTGAGTCCCTTGGTGCATGTGAATTTCTGACATCAGGTCTGAAGATGTGAGCCATTCTCATCAAATACCACACTGGCCTCCACAGAGCTCTCCATGATTATTTGATCCTTCAGACTCCATGCGAGCTAGAAGTGGTGGGTGGGAGCAGATGCTATCCAAGCATTTCCATCACTTTTGGCATTTTGGTTGCTGATCTGATAACATTTTCCTATATTTATTTTGGATGTAGTCCTGCAATTTTCTCCCAGGCACTATTATCTGCACTTGACAGACTGTGTACAGCAGAAGTGCTGATCCTTGATCATGGGGCAGATTATATGACATATGAATGGTGCAGTATGCTACACACCAATAAGCAAATCCCTTGGAAAAGCATGGAATAGTACAAACAGGCTGAGTGGCCATTTCTTATTCCTACTGACACTGTTTTGAAAAACAGTTTTAAAAAGCCCTGGATCCTGTCATATTGAGAAGAAAAGGACATTTTTGTTTCTTGTGCTGTCACAAGTAACAAGAATAACAACTATCTTTTATTAGGTACATGTCATGTTCCAGGTACTTTGAGTAATAGTAGTCATTCATATGGGAATCTTTCTTACTTGGCTTTGGTTGAGATTTAAAGTTGGGATGGCAGGGAGCACAACAGGTACCTCTTCTGGTTATTACCAGGTGACAAATGAAACCAACATTTAGCAGCTGAAGACAGCCCTTTGATTGTGCTGACAAATTCTGTGGGTTGGGAATTTGAATGCAGTATCCAAGGCCTCAGCCGATTCCAAGGCAGGGGGTAATTCGAAACCCAGAGACCAAAATCACCTGAAGGCTCATTCATGCACACTCCTGGCACTTGGGCTGGAGGATTCAAGGACTAGAATTGACAGCTGGAGTTCCTCCCTGTGTCTTCTCCAGGTATCTTGGCTTCCTCATAGTATGGCCACGTCAGGGTACTTGGCCACTTACATGAAGCTCAGGGAATCCAGTGCAAGTGTTTCAGCAAACAAGGCAGAAGCCTCATCTCTTTTCATGACCCAGCATCAAAAGTCACGCAGTGTTACTTTTAATATATTGTATTGATCAAACCCCACCCATATTCAAAATAACATAGATCTTCCTATTAATGGACACCAAAATTTTGGTGCCATGTTTTCAAAAAGCCAAAGTATCAGACCACAAAGGCAAAGTGGCATTGTCAGTTTAGGCTGCTATAAGAGAATACCATAGACTGAGTAACTTAAACAACCAATATTTATTTCTCACAGTTTGAGAGCCTGAGAAGTTCAAGATCAAGATGCCCATAGATTCAGTGTCTAGTGAGGACACTTCCAAGTTATAGAATGCCAAGTTCTTTTTGTATCTTTACATGGTAGAAAGCAGAAAGAGCTCTATGGGGTCTCTTTTATGTGAACACTAATCCCACATATGAGATTGGTATTACCTCCCAATTGAAGTACCTCCCAATCTAATTATTTCCCAAAGGCCCTGTCTCCTAATACCATCACATTGGAGGTAAGGATTTCACCATATCACTTTGGTGGGGAAAGGGTACAAAAATGTAGATCATAACACTTATCATGGTTTAAAAATTATAAAAGTGGTATTGCAGCCAGTAACAGTGGCTCACACCTATAATCCCAACTTCTTGGGAGTCTGAGGTGGAAGGATCACTGTAGTGAACTATGACTATGCCACTCTACTCCAGCCCAGGCAACAAAGAGAGACCCTGTCTAGAAAAAATATTGTAAAAATGGTACTGAAATTCTTAACTCACCATCTACCTCAAGGATTAAAAAAAGATGTGAAGGATTAGAGAAAGCAGACATGAGAACTGCTTTGGAGAAATTGTCAGTATTTCCTGTATTCCGCTGCTCCATGTCAACCGCTATGAAAAACAGAATGAGAGGAGATAACTTTGCTCTTGCCTGAGAGGAAGAGATGCTTTCAGAGTTTGGAGAGCCTGATATGATATGCATCTCCTGAAATTTGAGGGATGCAGTGACTGGTATCTGACTCATGCCTAAAATGTCTAACATTAGCAGTTTTGACTAGCTGAAATAGTCTACAGCAGCAGAATAAAATAGTCTTCACTGAAGCAAGCCACCTTTTCAGAGTTTGGCTGGCTAAGGACACCTGTGTGATTTCCATCTGTCGGAAAAGAGATCACTGTGAATTGTCTTGAAAATGACTCAGCTGGGCACGGTGGCTAATGCCTGTAATCCCAGCACTTCGGAAAGCTGAGGTGAGTGGATTGCTAGAGCTCAGACATTCGAGATCAGCCTTGGCAACATGATGATGCCCCATCTCTCCAAAAATATAAAAATTAGCTGGGCGTGGTGCTGCGTGCTTGTAGTCCCAGCTACTCAGGAGGCTGAGATGGAAGGATTGCTTGAGCCCAGAATGTCAAAGCTGCAAGTAAGCCATGATCAGGCCACTGCACTCCAGCCTGGGTGACAGAATTAGACCCTGTCTCAAAAAAAAAAAAAAATAGAAAGAGAGAAGAGAAATTACCCTATGCCAATCTCTTTTCTTCAAAGATTAAGAAGACCTTGGCATAAAGAAGCTAGGATTAGAAGGAAGAGCTAAAGGGGATTGGATGTTACCAGCTTGAAATTATCACCTGCACCAAGGAACTGAAGTCAAAGATTCATAGAAGTGATTCAGGGAATAATGTAAATGGTTTCAGATATCCACCACACCTAGAAAGCATCACTGCAAGATTACAAGTAAGATCTCCTTTGTCTAATAACTTTCCCATCTCCCATTGTGTTACAGAACAACCATCTGGTAATGGAAGTGTCACTTGAAATCATAGTAGAATCCCATTCACACTAGAGGATAAGGGAAAAGAAAAGTTTTTAATTGAATGAGAATCCTGTGTTTCAACGTCTATGGACTGATCTGTTGTTATTAAAACCTGGGAAAAGAAAGTATTCTTGGAGTACCTGAGAATGACTAAATGTTCTGTGATATCTGCCAGAGATTTTATACAGGATTACAGATAAATGAACCCTAAAAAGGTGACAATTGGCAGGATCAGTTGGTAAGAGATAATAAAAAATTCTTGCTTCCTAACTTTTTCAAGTATTTCAATAAAGTTGACATATACAGTCATGCACTGCATAATGAGATTTTGGTCAATAATAGATCATATATATGACAGTGGTCTCATAAGATTATAATACTGTATTTTTGCTGTACTTTTTCTATGTTTAGATATGTTTAGGTACACAAATAGCTAAAATTGTGTTACATGCGTACAGTACAATAATATATTGTACAGGTTTGTAGCCTGGGAGCAATAAGCTATACCTTATAGCTTAGGTTTTCAGCAGGCTATACCCTTTAGGTTTGCATAAGTACACTATGTTGTTTATACAACAACAAAATTACCAGTTGATCTATTTCTCAGAATGTATCCCAGTCATTAAGCAATGGATGACTATATATTAAATTTATTTAATTCTCATAACTCTATTGAGGTAGGAAATAATATTCTCTGAGGCAAATAAAGGATGGCTATAAACTCTTTGTCATTCTTCCCATCAAGAGCTGGAGTCTGTGTCCTCACCTTGAATATAGGTCATCTCTGTGATTGCTATCATAAAAAGAACATAGCAGAAGTGATACTGTACCAGGTTCCCCTGACGCCTAAAAAGACTGACAGCTTCCATTTCCTTTCTCTTGGAAAACTCTCTCCAGGGGTCTGGAAGACAATGAAGTCCAATTACTCTGAGAGCACCATGCTAGAGAGGCCGTGTATAAAGCTGACTAGTGCCAGCAGAGCCCAAACATTCTCTCCACACAGGTTCCAGCTCAGGGAGGGAGTGAAGTCATCTAGGATGCTCTAGACTAGACTATCTCCCAGACGAATACCGTTGAATGATTCTTAGTCAATACCTCATGGAGCAAAGAAATTGTCCAGCTAAGCCCTGCCCAAAGTAATGACTCATGAAATCATGAGATATAATAAAATAGTTAATGGTTATTGTTTTAAGACACTGAGTTTTATAGTAATTTGTTACACAATAATAAATAGCCAAAATATCTCCAATTATAAGTAAGGAAACAGACTAAGAAAGGTCAATATTTTCCCAAGAAAACCTGTTTAACAAATGGACAAGAATAATATCCTTATAAAGCTGACCTACTAAAAAGGGGAATAGAGATAATAAACAAGATAAAGGATAAAGGAGAAAAAATAAAGCAAGGAGTGGATAGAGGTTGAAATATAAGAAGTGGTGGCCAAGAAAGGCTGAACTGAGAAGTTGACTATTGAGTAATGAGCTCAAGGAATTGTAAGAAAAAAACATATGGAATCCAGGAGAGAATATTCTCGGCAGAGGGAAAAGAATATGCCAGAGGCACAGACAAAACCAATATTTTCAAGTAAACTTTGTATTATTTTGTTCACATGTATGAAAGATTATCATGCACATTATTAGTAATATGCAGTAAAGAATTAAAATGAAGGTGGCTTAGACCAAGCTAGTAATAGAGCAGATGTTGTTGAGAAGTACAAATATTTTGAAGGGAAAGTTAATGGAATTTGATGACATATTGGATATGGTATGTGAGAGGAGTCAAGATTACTTTCAGTGTTTTGACCTATGTAACTAGAAAACTGGAGTAGCCGTTAACAGGGATGGTGATAGCTTTGGTAGATCAGGGTCTACTCTGTGGGAAGAATACAGCAATGAGCAGATGAGTGGATAGAAAGGTAGCTATAGATGGAAGAAAAATGAAAACACATAAATGTCACCAATGCTGAATCTAAACTCAGCTATTCATACATATTTTAAATAACTAGCATTCATTGAGTTCTTATAAAGAATTAGGTGTTATACCATGCTTTACTTACTCCCTTAATCAGAGTCCTGTTAGGAAAACAGCAAGTATGTCAAATATTTAAACAGAGTCTATTTTATGTAGGGAATCAGTTACACAACGGTAATCACATTTGTTGTCAGCTTCCCCTAGATCTGGAAAAATAAAATGTTACAGAAATGTAAGATCAGGTAGATACCATGAGCCAGAGTCAGGTAGTCAGGCTAGAACTCATAGAAAACAACACAATGTTTTCAGGAAAAAAAAACAGTGGTGAGATGTCAGGTGGATAAGACCTAAGACATTTCAAATTTGCTATGGTAAAGCAAGTATTGAAAAGTGCTGTGCTGCTTTTTGGATGTGTCAACTTGGCTAGACCATAGTTCCCAATTATTCAATGGAACATCAATTTAGGTGTTGCTTTGAAGGTGTTTTGTAGATATCATTAAAGTTCATAATCACATTATCAGTTGATCTGAAGTAAGGGAGATTATCCCAGATAATCTGGGTAGCTGTGATTCAATCAATTAAAAGGTCTTACAAATAGAGCTGAAGTTTCCCTGAAGAAATTCCATCCATGGACGTCACCTCTACTTCATGTCCCAGAGCTCTAGTCTGCCCTTCCTGATGGCCTGCCTTAGTGATTTTAGATTTGCTGAGCCAGCCCCCACAAACAACATGAGTCTTGCAATAAATCTTTCACCTTCAGGTGAGGAACTATGGGAATGGAGCACACACAGCAATAAGAAGGTGGAATCATGGTGAATGAAATAACTTTTGCCTCAGCCATGGGGCTTTAGGTTATCTTTTCTGTTTGGATAGTAGTCAGTCCTTACCATGGGAGCCAATCACAATCCCAAATGCCATAATCCTGAACACCATAATTTTGAACGTTGAAATCCAGAAAGGTCAAAATTCTGAAATATAATTCTGGAAAAATGAGAAAATTATTTAAAATAAATTTACTTACATGTTTAAAAGAGGATTTATTTGAGAAACATAAAAATACAACAGAAAACTTCATAGACCACTTACATAATAGGCAATAATAGCATACATATTTTTGAAAGCATAAGCACTCAGGTATACTAACAAGAGTCACACGGGCATTTTAGTCATTAGCAGGAAAACTAGATTCATGAATAAATAGCTCATATAACTATGGTAATTTGAAATACCATGGTTGACAACCTATGTGTTTTGACAAGATCAATCAAAAACCTTGATAGGTCACCAATACATTTACAGTCATCCAAAAAGCCAAGATCTGAGGAAATTTTATCTTTCACAAATGCAAATGTACAAAAAGGACATCTCTACATTTATTGAGGAAGTTTCAATGTTTTTATGTACAAACACAATGCTTAAATACAAAGTCAATATTGTGATAATGCACCTTTGTGGAGTCAAGTTTGCAAAAAATACATAAAACAAATTATGACTTCATAAACGTCTACACGATTTATACCTCTGGTATTGTAAATAATGCAGAGATGAAATACATAGCATAGCAAATTGTACCAAAATAATGCTGACAACTCAAAACAGTGAGAGCAAAATCCAAAAAACAAAAACAAAAAAACCTAAAAAGGAAATCTGGTGTATGAGAAAGCGTCTTACAGGGGTAGATTAAGGGCAATTTCACAGAGGTAGGCCATAAGAGCTGGCCAACTTTCCATTAACTATATTTCAAAATCTTGCATTGCAATGAATAGCTGCTTTTTCCTTGGAGAATTTTTTGCATGGCTTTCCTTGGAGAATACATTCATATTAATTGTTTTTAATAGAGGCAAGGTCTCACTCTGTTGCTCAGGCTGATCTCAAAATCCTGGGCTCAAGCAGTCCTCACACCTCAGCCTCCCAAAGTGCTAGAATTACAGGCGTAAGTGACAGTGCCAGGCCTCACATTCATTTTCTAAGTGGTGTTGCTCTTTTTGAAATTATTTTGTGATTCAATATACATGGACATGAGCATGCACTATTAAATTTTTCCATCTTATGTGCCATGCTTCTATGTAGTTTTCAACACGCATAAGTCAATTTCACATGAACTCATATATGGACCACAAATTTGGTGGAGTGGTGAGTGAACTGCAACACCATTGCAAGTCTTCTTATCCTAGAGTGCATATAATTATTTTCAAAGCAGTCAGTAATTTCACTGGCTTTTTAAAAAAATTTCTATTTTAGGTTCAAGGGTATATGTGCAGGTTTGTTATATAAGTAAACCGTGTGTCTTGGAGGTTTGCTGTAGAGATCATTTCATCACCCAGTTAATAAGCATAGTGCTCAATAGGTAGTTTTTTCATTCTCTCCCTCTCCCCACACTCCACCCTCAAGTCAGTTCCCATATCTGCCGTTACCCTCTTCGTGTTCATGTGTTCTCATTGTTTAGCTCACATTTATAAGTGAGAACATACAGCATACAGTGTTTGGTTTTCTGTTTCTGCATTAGTTTTCTTAGTATTATGGACCCCAGTTCCACCCATGTTGCTGCAAAGGACATGATCTCTTTCTTTCTTATGGCTGCATAGTATTTCATGGTGTATATGTACCACATTTTGTTTATCCAGTCTACCATTGATAGGCATTTCAGTAGATTTCATGTCTTTGCTATTATGAATAGTGCTGCAATAAAGATATGTGTGCATGTGTCTTTATGGCATACAATTTATATTCCTTTGGGTATATACCTAACAATGGGATTGCTGGATCAAATAGTAATTCTGTCTTAAATTCTTTAAGGAATCACCACACTGCTGTCCTCAATGACTGAACTAATTTACATTCCCACTAGCAGTGTATAAGCATTCTCTTTTCTCCACAACTTCACCAGCATCTGTTATTTTTTGAGTTTTTAATAATAGCCATTCTGACTGATGTAAGATGGTATCTTGTGGTTTTGATTGCATTTATTCAGTGACTAGGGATGACGGGCATCTTTTAAGATGTTTGTTGGCTATGTGTATGTCTTTTCTTGAAAAGTGTCTGTTCATGTTCTTTGCCCACTTTTTAATGGGATTGTTTGCTTTTGTGTTTTTGCATGTAAATTTGTTTAAGTTACTTATAGTTTCTGGACATTAGAACTTTGTTGGATGCATAGCTTGCAAATACCTTGTCCCATTCTGTAGATTCTGTTTACTGTGTTGATTGTTTCTTTTGCTGTGCACCAGCTCTTTAGTTTAATTAGGTCCCATTTGTCAATTTTTGTTTTTGCTGCGATTGCTTTTGGCATCTTTGTCATGAAATCTTTGCCAGTTTCTATGTCCAGAATGATATTTCCTAGGTTATCTCGCTTTTTATAGTTTTAGGTTTTACAGTAACGTCTTTAATCCATCTTGAGTTGACTTTTGTATATAGTGTAAGGAAGGAGTTCAGTTTCAATCTTCCACATATGGCTATCCAGTTATCCCAGCAACATTTATTTTATAGGCAATCAATTCCCCATTGCTTGTTTTTGTTGACTTTGTTGAATGTCAGATGGTTGTAAGTATGAGGCATTATTTCTGGGCTCTCTATTGTGTTCCATTGGTTTATGTGTGTGTTTTTGTACCAGTACTATGCTGTTTTGGTTACTGTAGTTGTGTGGTATAATTTGAAGTCGGGTAACATGATGCCCCCAGTTTTGTTCTTCTTGCTTAGGATTACTTGGCTATTCAGGTTCCTTTGTAGTTCCATATGAATTTTAAAATAGTTTTTCTAGTTCTGTGAAGAATGTCATTGGTAGTTTGACAGCAATAACATTGAATTTATAAGTTGTTTTGGGCAGTATGGCCATTTTAACAATATTGATTCTTCCTATCCATGGGCATGAAATGTTTTTCAATTGTTTGTGTCATCTCTGATTTATTTGATCAGTGTTTCATAAGTCTTGTAGAGATCTTTCTCTTCCCTGGTTAGCTATATGCCTACATGTTTTATTTTTGTCTGTGTGGCAATTGTGAATGAGATTCCATTCTTGATTTGGCTCTCAGCTTGAACGTTGTTGATTTATAAGAATGTTACTGATTTTTGGCTGGATGTGGTGGCTCACACCTGTAATCCCAGCACTTTGGGAGGCCGAGGCAGGTGGATCATGAAGTCAGGAGTTTGAGACCAGCCTGAGCAACATGGTGAAACCCCATTTCTACTAAATGGGGTGGTGTATGCCTGTAATCCAAGCTACTCAGCAGGCTGAGGCAAGGGAATCACCTGAATCCAGGAGGGAGGCCAAGAGGGTGCTGAGGGTGGCTCAGCACAGGCCTGCAGGTACCTCTCAGCATGAACAGCCTGGGTGCCATGAACAGTGGTAGGAGTCAAGAGCCTGGGTGCCATGAACAGTGGCAGGAGCCTGGACAGAAAGGAGAAGGTCTCCAGTGAAACTCCACCTTCAAGCCAGGGATGGCCTGAAGCTTGGGGGCTGGGCTGCCAGTTCTGTGGACTGGAGTGAGCACTTATCATGTTTTTTCTGGCCCTGCCCTTGGCCGCCTATGGACCAATCAGCACACATTTCCTCCCCTCTGAAGCCCATACAAACCCTGAACTCAGCCAGACTCAGGCAGATATTGGGATGACCTGCCTGTGGAAAGAAGCTAACCACTTTGGGTCACTTGAGAGCTTCTCCATCGCTCAGTGAATCTCCTCTCTTCCTTGCACACCCTCCAGTTGTCTGCATTCCTCATTGTTCTTAGATGCAGGACAAGAACTTGAGAGCTGCTGAATGGTGGGACTGAAAGAGCTGTAACACAAACGGGGCTGAAACATGCCCCCACTTGCCATGTTTCAGGCAATAAGAAGGAAAGAACTGTGGCCCTTTGGGGATCCCAAACCTAGGGGCTCCCTGAACCAGGGCTGTGACACCCTCTTTGGGGTTCTATGGTTCCTGGCATCTCCAAGCTTCTAGGTACCAAAGCATTCCCCGGTGCCTGCAGTGGAAGGCACTTGCAGTACACTTGATCCAGCCACAGCCTTGGATGGAGCTAGCACCTGTGCTGGAGCCTGCAGCTGCTCACCCCTCTGCAGCCAGCACACCTGGCTGTGCACAGTGTCTGGACCCCATGCTTGCTCACCCACCCCTCACTTCTCTGCACCTGGCCCACCCTGGCAGGCATGGGATCCAGGCCAGTAGTGCTCCCAGGGGAAGCCTGCCAGGCCAAGTGGGCAGAATGAGACCAGTGGGCTCAAGCAAAACTTGGGTAAAGGTGCCACCTTTCACAGATTTCTGGCTGGAAAAGTTACACACTACAGATCCTATGACACTACCAGTTGGTATGCTCAGCCATGGGTGGGGTGGCTGTTCTGTGGTCCTGAGCCAGGGGCTCTGTTTGGTGAAGAGTGTGGGGTAGGGCCTGGGAAGAGAGACTTGGCTCCCCTCCATCTGGTGGCTGCAGTGTGCTGGAGTTGCCAGCACAGCCACCAGGCCCTTTGTTCCTTCCCCAGCCCGAGGGCAGTTAGGGCAGTACCACTTCAGCTAAAGTGATGGAGGGACTGTGGATTGTCTCTGGGATTTCCTCCAGAGAGAAAAGCAGAGCTGCCACCCACTGAAGTTTTCAGACAGAGGCAGCGTAGTTGTGCTGGAGTCTAGGTCAGAAGGCCCCACTAAGTGAGGAGAAGCAGGGAAGGGAACTATGTGGAAAACAGTCTGGCCACTTTTCCATGAGGTGGCTTCACTGTGCTGGAGTTCCGTGGCAGTCCCTAATCACCATGCACCATCCAGAGCCTGAGGGCAACAGGGTGAGGGCTGTGGGGCAGCAAAGCTCGTGGCCAGCCTCTATCTCTGGAAGCTCCATCCCAGGGAAGTACAGAGATGCTACTGGTCTGAGAGCCTAGGCAGTTTTGGTGTGGCCATGCTAGAGTCCCAGGCCAGTGGGATTTTTCCTGCGAGGTGCATTGGAGGCAAGGCTTGCAGTCTGTCCCTGCTCAGATCCATAGTTCTTGTCCCCTTCCTGGGAGCATGCAAGGGAGCCTGACCTCCCTGTTGCCAGACCTGCAGCTGTGAATGCCAGGATGCCCAGGGATTCAAGGCTCCCAGGACTCTGGGTGTACATGAGCGGAAGCCAGACTCCACAAAGCTCTCCATGTTAGTCTGGAGGCCTCAGTTGTTGGGGGTAATAGCAGATCTCCTGAGCCCAGAGTTGCAAAGGTCCATGGCAGAAGTGTGGGCTCCTGGGGATTCTCACTCACTCACCATTTCCCTGCAGTGTGAGGTCTCTCCTGGCTCCATGCCATGCCTGGGTGGGTGGTCATCCTGTCTCACTCCTCTCCATTCTCCATGGGTCGAGCTGTTTCCTTGATGAATCCCAATGTGTCCACCTGGATGTTGCAGTTGAAGAGCTAGTATTTACTTGACACTTTTTCTTCTGTGAAAGCAGCACACACTAGCTGCTTCTAGTCAACCATCTTAGTGCCTTCCCTATCACTGGCTTCTTAAGGCAAATGCAACTTTAATTTATTAAAAGCTCCTCGAATGTTATCAGCTGGAAGGGATTCCACTGCAGGCAAATGATGCATTTTTATTTTTATTGACACATAATATGTCTTCATATTTATGGAGTACATGTGATATTTTGTTACATGCTTAGAAAGTATAATGATACAGTCAGTGTATTTAGGGTATCCACCACCTCCAGCATATATCATCCAGGATATGGAAACATGTCCTATCTTCCAGCTATTTTGAAACATACAATACATTGTATAAATAAAGGTTTTGATCTTTTGGGATTTCAACATTCAGGAATGTCAATAGAGATTGTGTGTTTGGGGATCATGATCCAAATCTGTGAAGTAAGATAGTTATAATAAGCTATAGGCTAACTTTGTGGAATATAGTGAGCATTCAATATCAGTAGCTGTTACTAGTGGCCATGGTTGTTATTTTCATGTGTTTGCTGGAGGGAATACTTGAAATTCTTCCCAGCTAAGTAAATTAGAAGACCAGTCTTTATCAGTAACTTATTTTGCTGGCCCACAAAATGCTAAAGATCTCAGATAGGAAAAATGTCACTTTTTCTCATTTGTTAGAGAAGGTAATTCTGGATTGCATTTAATGAGCTTTACATCTGTGGACTTGAGGCTGAGTCATTCATCAAAGTCTGCTATAAGTCTTCTCTACCTGCTCTAACAGTGGCAGTGTCTCTGCTCCTGGTGACCCTCATATTGTGCTATCACTCACAGGTGTTAAACCTGCTTTATCCATGACATGGCTTTTATATACAGAACCTCCAAGCAAGCTCCAAAGTGCTTTATCAAAATTGGGCACTCTGAAAATGAAAAGCCCAGTGTGTGTGCTGAAAGTTATCATAATACACGATCTCAATAATTGGTTCCACAGAGCAAAGGACAGGCATTTGGGCTATGCTGCTTAGAAAGCTCTGTGTGGACAAAATCTCTTTTCTAAGACAGAGATTCTTTGCAGAGAGTAAGGATGATGTAATGAGATAAGCATTGAACCTGGCATCAGGAGAACTGGCATCCCAGATCAGTTTACATATGAATTTATTCCAATGGTTTACATCTCTGTGTCTCAGTTTCCTCACTGGGAAATTGGAGATAATTATACCTACTCCAGAAGGCTCTGTGAGGTAATATATGTGACAGAACTTTCCACTGTGCATATTAAATAGTGTGTATATGAATCATGTTTGCACAGGAAACATTTAAATGTCAATTCCTGGGCCCTCCACCAGAGATGTGGACTTAGATCTGGGGTGAGACCGACAAATTTAAATATTGATCATGCATTCTGCAGGTTATCTGCAAATATTGATCATGCAGGTTATCTGCTGACCATACTTTCAGAAACTTTGGAATTTTTGTATATTGTGTACATATGAGTTACTTAGTACTACTAATGGCTATAAAAGAAGCAAATGTAGTAAGTTATTTTCTCTGTTTGAAAATATTAAACAGAAGACTCCCCGAGAGAAATATGTGGATTCAGAATATTCCTGTCTTCCCCACTATTTTCAGCATAAGTATTCTTATCAAGAGTGAAGCAAGTGATGAAAACATTAGTTTACCCATAAATAAAGACAGATTATAAGGCCTTATTGTATCATGTGGCTAAACAAACTTAAGGCTTGAATATAAATAGAAAGACTGAGATAGAGAACAGAGGGTGACATAAACTAAATGTATCTTTGTTTTGGCTTGAGTAAGATAGGCAATACCACTAACCTGTGGCTTCTCCTTAGCCACATAGCTATGGCCTCAAAATTAACTAGCAGTGTCTTTTTAATCAATACCAAAGTCCTGGGACAAAGTAATAAATGGGGAAAAATCAATACCTGAAGGAATATCACAGTATTTCTGTCCTATCAAAACCAGGCTCTGAGCCACTATTGTCTGTGCAATTTATACTCTAGAAACAGGTGTTACGATTAGTTTCCAGACACCACTATTACAAGCACAGATGACCTCTACCATCCCTATTACCAGGAAAGCTATTTACAGAGGCAGAGTCAGACTTTCCTTCTGGGTTATTATTTGAAAGGTGCATAACGGACTCCCTTCTCTGGCCAAAAATGTATTTCTTCCGCTGACCTGTCCCAGCTGATTTCATATAACCTCTCTTAAAAGAGCTTTCAGGAATCAACTAAGTACTTTTGATGAGTTAAATTAAATAGATGTTTTATTATATGGTAGGAAGAGTCAGAAACACAGGAATATCCTGGATTCCTATCTCTTTTAGGAAGTTAAGTAGTCATTAGCGGTCTTAAATTACATTTTGTAAGTTTTGTTTCAGACAATGTAAACTAGTTTATTTTTAAAGAACTCTCCTGCTTAGAATGACTGGAAAATTGCAGACAAAATAATAAAGTAAGGTCTGTGTGTAAGCATTGTTTGTAAGCTATCAAGGAAATAAGGTTCATCAGACCAAGATCCGAAAAATGAAAGAAACACAGAAATGTGAACCTGATACTTGGGACAACTCATTCCCTTAAAGCATTTGCTGATTTGAAAGTGGAAGTCGAGAGGCTAAGAAAGTGAAACAAGAACTTTTGGTAGGTTCAGAGGCTAGGGGAATAAAAATTGGAGATCAAAGACCATCAAGAGTGAAGGGTCCCAAACTGGGATGTCAAAAGTTTACACCCTAGGAATAAGAGTCAACCTGAAATATACCAACCCTTTCAAGATTAAAATTTTCTCAATCCCTGTTTTTATGAAGGTAGCATGCTCTTCCCCTAGGTATCTGACAGGAGCAAATTCATGACCCCACTAGTGTAATATATCATTATCCAAAACTTCAAATTATCTCTAGAAATGTTTACCTCATCTTTTCAACCAGTGCTACTGGTTTAATTGGATTATCTGCACAGAAAAACAATGGCTTCATTTTTACTTTGTACTGTACACAGAAAATTCCAGTTATTTAATAAAACTAAAAGTGAAAGGCAAAACAGTAAAGCATATAGACCATTACAAGAGGTAATAACTATCTAGAAGAACATTTTTAACTACATTAAAATTAAAGCCTCTCTTAAACAAAAGAAATCTTTAAACGTGAGCAAAACAAAACGTGAGCAAAACAACCTATAGACTAACACATGACGTTTGCAAAATATGTTGTATCCAGTAGGATGTGAGGCCAGATTATACAAAGAATTTCTGTAAATCAATAGGAAATTGTCAGACCCCAGTGGAAAAATGAGCAAAAGGCTTGAACAGGCACTTCAGCTGAGAGGACACCCAAATTGTCATCACTAGGGAAATTGAATGAAATGAAAAATAAAACTGCAGTGAGCCATCATCACATAGCCACCATAATAGCTAAAAAATTGTAGAAGATTGACCATAGTGTTGATAAACACATAGAGCAATAAGAGCTATCACATACTGCTTGCAGAAGTAAAACTTAGTATAATCACCCTCGGAAAGCTACATGAAAGTAAGTATAAATGAACATATACATGCTTTATGACTCAGCAATCACCATTCTAGAAATGTGTACACATGTGCACCAAAAGACAGTTATAATTTGGAAACATTTACAGAAGCATCATTTACAATTGCTCCAAACTGGGAAATAACCCAAATGTGCATCAACAGATAAATAATTGTAATGTATTTAAACAGTTGAGAAAATATAGAGAATAACAAGAAACAAACCTTTGCTACATACAATGGCATGAATTAATCTGGCAAAGAGAATATTGAGTGAAACAATTTAGATTTTTAAAACTCTATTACTTCATCAGTATGAAATTCAAAATAGGTAAAACTATTTTTGGTGTTAAAATTCAAGGAAATGGTTGCCCTTGAAAAGGCAGTGTTTAATGCTTTGAAAGGGGTATGGTTGGGGGAGGGGGGCTCTGATTTTTTTTATTATTCTATTTTGTGACATAAGTGTGTATTACATGGGTATGCTCCTTTCTGATTATTCATCACTTGTGACATTGTACTTTACCTATATTAAACCTTAATTTTTTTTATACTTTAAGTTCTGGGATACATGTGCAGAACATGCAGGTTTGTTACATAGGTGTACATGTGCCATGGTGGTTTGCCGCACCAATCAACCCGTCATCTACGTTAGGGATTTCTCCTAATGCTATCCCTCCCCTAGCCCCCACCCCCAACAGGCCCCAGCGTGTGATGTTCCCCTTCTTGTGTCCATGTGTTCTCATTGTTCAACTCCCTCTTATGAGTAAGAACATGCGGTGTTTGGTTTTCTGTTCCTCTTTCCTGTTTTAGTTTGCTGAGAATAATAGTTTCCAGCTTCATCCATGTCCCTGCAAAGAACATGAACTCATCATTTTTTATGGCTGCATAGTATTTCATGGTGTATATGTGCCACATTTTCTTAATCCAGTCTATCATTGATAGGAATTTGGGTTGGTTCCAAGTCTTTGCTATTGTGAATAGTGTTGCAATAAACATACATGTGCATGTGTCTTTATGGTAGAATGATTTATAATCCTTTGAGTATATACCCAGTAATAGGATTGCTGGGTCATATGGTATTTCTGGTTTTAGATCCTTGAGGAATCACCACACTGTCTTCCACAATGGTTGAACTAATTTACACCTCCACCAACAGTGTAAAAATGTTCCTATTTCTCCACATGCTCTCCAGCATCTGTTGTTTCCTGACTTTTTAATGATCACCATTCTAACTGGCATGAGATAGTATCTCATTGTGGTTTTGATTTGCATTTCTCTAATGAGCAGTGATGATGAGATTTTTTTTCATATGTTTGTTGGACACATTAGAGTCTTCTTTGGAGAAGTGTCTGTTCATATCCTTCACCCACTTTTTGATGGGGTTGTTTGTTTTTTGTTGTAAATTTGTTGAAGTTCCTTGTAGGTTCTGGATATTAGCCCTTTGTCAGATAGATAGATTGCAAAAATTTTCTCCCATTCTGTAGGTTGCCTGTTTAACCTGATGATCGTTTCTTTTGCTGTGCAGAAGCTCTTTAATTTGATCCCATTTGTCAATTATGGCTTTTGTTGCCATTGCTTTTGGTGTTTTAGTCATGAAGACTTTGCCCATGCCTATGTCCTGAATGGTATTGCCTAGGTTTTCTTCTAGGGTTTTTATGATTTTAGTTCTTATGTTTAAGTCTTTAATCCATCTTGAGTAAATTTTTGTATAAGGTGTAAGGAAGGAGTCCAGTTTCAGTTTTCTGCATATGGCTAGCCAGTTTTTCCAACACCATTTATTAAATAGGGAATCATTTCCCTATTGCTGTTTTTGTCAGGTTTGTTAAAGATTAGATGGTTGTAGATGTGTGGTGTTATTTCTGAGGCCTCTGTTCTGTTCCATGGGTCTATATATCTGTTTTGGTACCAGTACCTTGCTGTTTTGGTTACTGTAGCCTTGTAATATAGGTTGAAGTCAGGTAGAGTGATGCCTCCAGGTTTGTTCTTTTTGCTTAGGATTGTCTTGGCTATACGGGCTCTTTTTTGGTTCCATATGAAATTTAAAGTAGTTTTTTCTTATTCTGTGAAGAAAGTCAATGGTAGCTTGATGGGGACAGCATTGAATCTATAAATTTCTTTGGGCAGTGTGGCCATTTTCATGATATTAATTCCTCCTATCCATGAGCATGGAATATTTTTCCATTTGTTTGTGACCTTTCTTATTTCCTTGAGCAGTGGTTTGTAGTTCTCTTTGAAAAGATCCTTCACATCCCTTGTAAGTTGGATTCCTAGGTATTTTATTCTCTTTGTAGCAATTGTGAATGGGAGTTCACTCATGATTTGGCTCTCTGTTTTTTCTATTATTGGTGTATAGGAATGTTTGTGATTTTTGCACATTGATTATGTATCCTGAGATTTTGCTGAACTTGCTTATCAGCTTAAGGAGATTTTGGGCTGAGACGATGGGGTTTTCTAAATATACAATCATGTCATCTACAAATAGAGACAATTTGACTTCCTCTCTTCCTATTTGAATGCCCTTTATTTCTTTCTCTTGCCTGATTGCCCTGGCCAGAACTTCCAACACTATGTTGAATAGGAATGGTGAGAGAGGGCATCCCTGTCTTGTGCCAGTTTTCAAAGGGAATGCTTCCAGCTCTGCCCATTCAGTATGATATTGACTGTGTGTTTGTCATGAATAGCTCTTATTATTTTGACATTTGTTCCATCAATACCTAGTTTGTTGAGAGTTTTTAGCATGAAGCGGTGTTGAATTTTATTGAATTGTAAAGGTCATCAACACTATGCAGAAACTGCATCAACTAATGGGCAAAATAAACAGCTATCATCGTAATGACAGAATCATTTTCACACATAACAATATTAAACTTAAATGTAAATGGACTAAATGCCCCAATTAAAAGCCACATGCTGGCAAATTTGATAGAGTCAAGACCCATCGGTGCACTGTATTTAGGAGGCCCATCTCATGTGCAAAGACACACTAAAAATAAAGGGATGGAAGAATATTTATTAAGCAAATGGAAAGCAAAAAAAGCAGGATTTGCAATCCTAGTCTCTGATAAAACAGACTTTAAACCAACAAAGATCAAAAGAGACAAAGAAGGCCATTACATAATGGTAAAGTGATCAATGCCACAAGAAGAGCTAACTATCCTAAATATATATGCACCCAATACAGGAGCACCCAGATTCATAAAGCTAGTTCTTAGAGACCTAGAAAGAGACTTAGACTCCCACATAATAATAGTGGGAGACTTTAACACCCCACTGTCAATATTAGACAGATCAATGAGACAGAAAATTAACAAGGATATTCAGGACTTGAACTCAGCTTTGGACCAGGCGGACCCAATAGACATCTACAGAACTCTCCACCCCAAAGCAACATAATATACATTCTTCTCAGCACCACATCACACTTATTCTAAAATTGACCACATAATTGGTAGTAAAACACTCCTCAGCAAATGCAAAAAAATGGAAATCATAACAATCACTGTCTCAGACCACAGTGCAATCAAATTAGAACTCCGGATTAAGAAACTCACTCAAACCACACAACTACGTGGAAACTGAACAACCTGCTCCTGAATGACCACTGGGTAAATAATGAAATTAAGGCAGAGATAAATAAGTTCCTTGAAACCAATTAGAACAAAGACACAACATACCAGAATCTCTGAGACACAGCTAAAGCAATGTTTAGAGGGAAATTGATAGCACTGAAGACTCACAGGAGAAAGTGGGAAGATCTAAAATTGACACTCTAACATCACAATTAAAAGAACTAGAGACGCAAGAGCAAACAAATTCAAAAGCTAGCAGAAGACAAGAAATAACCAAGATCAGAGCAGAACTGAAAGAGATAGAGACACGAAAAACCCTTCAAAATATCAATGAATCCAGGAGCTTGTTTTTTGAAAAGAATAACAAAATAGATAGACTGCTAGCCAGACTAATAAAGAGGAAAAGAGAGAAGCATCAAATAAACACAATAAAAAATGATAAAGGGAATATCACCACTGATCCCACAGATATACAAACTACCATCAGAGAATACTATAAACACCTTTATGCAAATAGACTAGAACTAGAAGAAATGGACAAATTCTTGGACACATACGCCCTCCCAATATTAAATCAAGAAGAAGTTGAATCTTTGAATAGACCAAGGATAGAACAGGTTCTGAAATTGAAGCAGTAATCAATAGCCTATCAACCAGAAAAAGCCCAGGACCAGATGGATTCACAGCCGAATTCTACCAGAGGTACAAAGAGGAGCTGATACCATTCCTCCTGAAATGATTGCAAACAATGGAAAAAGAGGGACTCCTCCCTAACTCATTTTATGAGGCCAGCATCATCCTGATACCAAAACCTGGCAGAAACACAACAAAAAAAGAAAATTTCAGGCCAATATCCCTAATGAACATCTATGCGAAAATCCTCTTTAAAATAATGGCAAACCAAATCTGGCAGCACATCAAAAAGCTTATCCACCACGATCAAGCTGGCTTCATCCCTGGGATGCAAGGCTGGTTCAACATATGCAAATCAATAAATGTAATCCATCACATAAACAGAACCAATGACAAAAACCACATGATTATCTCAATAGATGCAGAGAAACCTCAATGTTTAAAGTTAACATTAAATCCTTGGTGCAAGGATCCTTGGTGCCAGCTGATTTTTCAAGTATCTTTTTTTTTTACTTTAGATTGTGAGCTTCCGAAGGACCTTGGCTATTGCCATTTCCAAGATTATGGCCATGACCTGCAATTGAATTAGAATCTTTCAGAATGGGACCCGGGAATTTCTTTGTTTGTGTTTTGTTTTACTGTATTTTTTTACATATGCTAAGTGCTTTTTGGCAGCCAAGATTAAGGACAACAGCACTAAGGCCTCTAAGTGTTTCTCGGTTGCACTTATATACGCAAAACTATTTTTCCCCTTTTGTACCCAATAGTTACATTTATTAGTATGCAAATGTGTATAAGGTAAAACAAACATTTTATTATCTTTCCATAATTATTTCTATAAGCCCAATTTTTGCAATAAAAGATATTTGATCTTCGGATGAAACTGAATTATTTGTATTTAAAAGACTTTTTCTTCATGAATGATTTATATAAAACTTAAGTTTCTGTTATATTTAGTGTATTGAGTTTTATCTCAATATAGAATTCACTGGGATTCATCAAGCATTACTTAAAATAGTAAAGCTCAGAATACAAAAATTATGGGAACTTTGCAACTATTATTGCCTCCTTGTTATTATATCTGAATGGGAAAAAAAAGAATTAAACCTGATTTATATAGGCCTTTAGAGGCAGACATTGAGCTAGATGATATCCTTCCAGATAATTTAACATATTATTATAACGGTAGGTAGAATTCTAAGATGTCTCCCCAAGATTTTCCTTGCCTCTGAAGTGCATGCCCTGTATAATCCTAGGGATCATGAAGACAATAGATTTTACTCCTGTGATTAGGTTGTGTTACAGTTGACTTTAAGAAAGGGAGATCATCCAGGTGGGCTTGACATGATCACATGAACCCTTTAGAGTTCTGTCCAACTGGTAGCAGAAGAAGTTGTAAGAAAGATGCATTCTGGCTGGCAGTACAAAAGCAAGCATCATCTTGTAAATTGCCAATAGAGAGGGGTAACCATGAGGAGTTGAGGCCCCCAGCTGATAGCCACCAAGGAGAGAAGGATCTCAGACCTACTATCACTAGAAACTGACTTCTTCCAACATACAGTGAGTTTGGAAGGGGACTCCAAACCTCAAATGAGAACTGCAGCCCCAGAAGACATCTTGATGTCAGCTTTTGGCTACTTTGAGCGAAGAATCCAGTTGTACCATGTCCATACTTATGACCTAAATAACTGTGAATTGACAAATGGGTGTTGTCTTAAGCTGTTAAATTAAGGCAATTTATTACATTGCAATAGAAAACTAATACAGATTTTGGTACCCAAAAGCCAGGTGCTACTGTAACAAATACCTGAAAATATGGAAGGGCTTTGGAACTAAGCAGTGAGAAGAAGCTGGACATTTGAGAACAGTGTTGAGAAGCATGCCAGAGAAAGCCTCAATTGCCTTGAACACACTGCTAGTAGAAATATGAATGTTGAAAATGCTACTGATGAGGGTTCACGAGGAGAAGAATATATTATTGAATATGGGAGCAAGCAGGTTGGATCCTTGTTCTATAGTGGTGGAAACTGTGTCCTACAGTTATGTATAAAGCTGAATTTATATGTGATGAACTTGGGTACAGAGCTAAGAAGATCTACAAGCAAGTGATTGAAGATTCTGCCTGATTTGTGGCTTATAGTAAAATGAGAGAAGAAAGATGAGAGATTGAGGGAAGAACTGTTAAACTAAGAAATTCACTGTCTGGAAGCATATTCTAGAGAAAAGACTGACCCTTTTGCTGAAACTTCAAAAAGCCTTTTTTGCTGAAACTTCTAAAGATCAAAAGGTCAGAGTCACAAGATATTAAGGGCTTGCCCTACAGAGCATCTCAATCAAACCAGAAAGCCTCGAGGAAGCTCGAGAGTATTATTCCTAAACCACCTCAACAGAAGGCCAGAACAGAAAAGCCATTATTTCAAAAATCTGTGGATGTTGCCTTTATCTAACAGAATAAATGCCCTATGAAACCACACAAGGTCCACAAAATTCTTGAGAATATTATGTCAGCAGAAACATTTCCCACTTGGAGGACAAGAAACAGAAAGAGTGTGAAGTAAAAAGAGGCTTTTGAATGCTCAGAATTTTATAGGAAGGTTGATAAAAATACTCAGCCCCACTGTGGATAAACAGAGATGACTCAGAGGACAGAAACCAAAACTCAAAGGTATAACCAAGTCCCAGGAGGCAAAATCAAGAGCCTTGGAGGATTGTTCCTAGGCCTAGAAACCTAATCAAGGAAGTCTGGCTGGATTGTCCAGCAGGATTACAAGACTTCTTACTTTATTTTTATCTTAATATTTGTGTTTATTTTTGGTTCTATTTTGAGCAGGAATGCCTGTAATTGTTATCCTATGCCTGCCCCATGATGATTGTTTGTTGGGAGTGTTTGGGGCACATAACATGTTTCTTTAGTTTCAAAAGTTCAAAGATGTAGAGGAATTGCGTCCACAACTTTCATTTAATGGGTTACTCATTGCCACTTAATTTAAACGATTTAGATGAGGAAATTTGGGACTATGAACTGAGGCTGTAATGAGATGAGATCTTTGGTCACTTTGGGAAGTAGAAGGGGAAGATATAGACTGGACTAAAAGTGTGCAGCACCTTAAGGATAGAACAAGTGGTATATTCCTTAGGTAATAGGAAATCAGAAATAACTCATTAATTTTAAAAAGTGATAAAGTTCAAGAAATGCCTAAAGTAAAAGGCTCTGCCTCTGCAATGTAAGATTTTTTTAAAAAAATTAGTGTGTGAAATGAGGCATCATTCAGAAAACGAAAAAAGTTACTGTAAAATAAGCTTGATCTCAAAGAGATTTAGCTTCTTGTCAGGGATGACCCTACAGATTTAAAGGTTACATAAAGTAGGATGTAAAGATTTTTCATCATTAATCATTTTAGAATTTGCATTTTGGTTGGAAATACTCATTGAGCTCTTTGATGTTTCAGAAATTATAAGCTTTCTTCCCTTTATGTCAAGAATGGTTGTGTAAATACTCTCATGTTTGTATTTATTTATTCCTTACAGATTTAAGGCAAGCACCTCATCAGCATTGCATATGTGATAGTATTTTAAAGTATAAATTATAAAAACCTTAATTTCCCCCAATTACCTTTATTTTAACTGTAAAGGATGCCATTTCTCCCAGAGTATTATTGTACCATGCATTCAACTATAATGAGCCTACTTTTTTTTTTTGTTTAAGAAATTCCAGAATTGTATGCTTTATGCTCCCAAAAACCTTGTCACAGTTTCTTTAGCAGATTATGACCTCCTGTGCTGTAACTGATGACAGTATATCCTGGATTTATAATGTGAATAAATCTTCTAGACTCTCTGTTGACTGTGGAGTTTTCTGAATTTTAGCAGAAACATTGAACCATAGTCCCACCAATTAATGAGAAATCAGCTGCAATAATAGGTCATTTTCACAGAAATTTTGGCATAGGCCTGAGTGATCTAGAAACCGTGTCATATGAGGAATGACTAGAGAAATTAGGGACATTTAATCAGGTGGAAATGATGCATACTTAGCGTTCACTAAAGGGACTGGTAGCAATGGGAGAACATTAAATACAAATCACTATTTGGAAGTCATACCTAAAACCTTGATTTTTTTTCCAGAAAAATAGTTTCTCCTAAATGATCTGTGAACATTTTCTAGGACAGCTAATTGATAGCCTATCAAGTATTCATTGGGCACCACAAACTTTACTGTTTGTGTAGCAGCATCGGGTGAAATTGATTAAAATTCCTTTCAGCGCTCTCTAGGATTCTATCTTGCAGGATTTCTGATGTAAAGAAGGCCAACTCAGCTGGTACAAAGAGAAAAAAATACATGACTCAAGGTGACCTATATTATTTTTGAAATAGAAACTTTGCCTAACAGAATTCAAAGCAAAAGTAAAAGCATACTATTCCAAAAAGATCCGACAGCAACTTTGGAATTCATCTGGTTCAAACTCCTAATTTTTCTAATGAGGAAACTGAGACCCAGGGAGTTGAGGTGACCTGCCTACGATCACACTAAGGTCACACTCCTAAAAGATAAACAAGTGAACTCCAGATTCCTGGTACTTAGGTTGTAGCTCTCAGCACTGGCCTGGGCTGTGTTACAACTGCAGCTCTGTTGGTTATTTATTCCTTACTGAATATCCTTAAATATTAGTGTATCCTTCCTCAATTTCCCTCTATCATCTCACACAGTTAATTGACAATATTGATTTCTTCTTCTCTTCCCTATCCTTCCACATCCTCTCCAACCTCACACTAAACACTCAAAGACCTAACTACTTCAGTGAAATAACAATGGGCAGACAGCTGCCTGATCTCAAGTAACGTGGACTTGAGGTCTTAGGGACAAGGTAGCAATACTAAGAGGGGAAAAACTATTACTTGCTATTGTCAGAGCAGATCAGAAACCCTGATCAGAAGCCAAAAGTCATGACAACGAAAATAAAAGGGAAGAAGAAATATAAAGAGGTGATTCTGTAGGAAACCTAGGACTAAAAGATTTCTAGGCACAGACAAAGCACGAAATTTTGGTCACAAACTCCCTTTCCCTTCCTTGACCTTCTGAAGCTCTGATCCTACTCATTACATAAGAGACCCACATACTTGCCCCAGAATATAGACACTGTCAACAAACTCTGACACCAAACTTACATAGAAAAATACATCTCCTACAGGTTTCCAGCCCTTTCTGGAATTGTTTACTTACACTAGGGACAACAACACAAATATTAAGGTGCTGTTCTCTTTTATTTAGTGGGTTTCAAATATTTTTTATAGATTTTTCTGATGATAGCTTAAATATTTAATAGAAAACTAGTTCAAATTGGTTATCTCAAAATTTGATCTTAGGATTCAGAATGAAAAGAAAACTTGTTTTTAGCTGGCAATGCATACCTCGGCTAACCCCACCAAGCACCCCCAGGCCTCTGTCAATGTATTTTTTGGTTTAAATATGTGTATCAAGTAGTATGTAGGATGTTAGTCTGTTTATTCTCAGATCCTTTTTTATGTGAGGCATTTCAATGTGTAGGGTAGTTCAGTCTATTCTTCTGCTTTCACTTTGAAATTTTATTTCCCTTCCGCTATTATACATTTTATATTCTAAATAGGAAAGTGCATTAAGTAACCATTGATTTTTTTTCTCCCACTCTCCTCTGCACACTGAATACTTTTGAGAAAACATTAGGCTTCCACATGGGAATCTAGGTTAAGTATCAAAATATATTTTTTACACAGTGAGGCTAGAGTAGGATTGATAGGGAGATGAAATATTGATGTCATTTTTTGATGATCAATTAACTGCTTGTTTTCAAAAATGTACTTGATAAAAATTTAGAGGAAATTATATCCATCCATATACAGTTGGAAGGTTGGGGTATTATAACATCTATGTCAAACAAGTCCAAGGACTCCAGCATGGATATACAGTAGTCAGTAAACCCAGAAAATAAAGAAGCCTTGATAAAATACGTTTGGTAAGGTATATTGCTAACTTATTTTATCCATCCAGGGTTCTCCTGACATAAAAGTCAGAGAGGAGCTACTTTGGTCAAATATCTATCTGTAACAAGGCCTGAAGGTGTTCTTAATCTCGGGACATATGAAGACAAAATGCCTTGTTAAAAATGACCAAACTCACCATGAGAAAATAGATGTCAACTTATGTTACTATATGTAATTATATACTACTTATGCTAAATTATATTTAGGTTGCAATAAATATTTGAAATTTATCCTTTTTAAAGACTGACAGAAATGAGATTCTGTGTCTTTAAGTCTAAGTCTCTTTTCTCATCCTCTTCTGTTCCTCATTCTTCTGCCTACATGGCCTATGTACTGAATCATGGGATGCTCTTGTTTATACTCACTTACAGTGAATGTTGATATCTTGTATTTGGCTAACATTTCTAAATCTGGAAAGTATGTTATCTTTCTTCAAAGCTAGGTTGAGCACTAGATCCTTATCAATGGTATGTTGCATGTATTGGGAAAGCCACAAATTGGAGTGTATAAAAACTGAAGTGTTATATTTTATTTTAGTGGCCTTAATTTATTTTAAATATAATTTCAGAAATTGGCTGTACAAATTCCAGAGGAAGGGTGGGTTTATTTAACACTGTGGTCTTCCCATGTTAGGAGTCAGATAACACAATAAAGTCTATATTATTGTTTGTCTATTATAACACCTATTGACACATACATGTTCCCATCTGACCTATGGTCATAGATTCACCCAGGCTGCTGTTTATTCCAAATTTAGGGCACTAATCCCTATGCCATGGCTGTACTGCTCTCCATGCATAAAGGATATGTTTTATGAATTTGAAACACATCAGGGTCTGGGTACCTTTCACACTGATACTTTGGAAGGCACCACTTTAGCTCTATGAGCATTCTTAATGTGTGGTCACACCAAGTGTATCCTGAATAATTTCCTATATCCTTCCTCAAGAAATCTTCATGTGGTGTGGCAGGGGCAGAGCACAAATCTACTTCTTGAGGAAATGCCACATACTAAGCTGTTTACATTCTCTCTCATCCTTCTCTCATTTTCTCCCAGAGAAACTCCATCTAATCTGGGGAGAGAGATAAGGTGGGTAGTCTGTTTTCTCATCCTATCTTTCAAAGTTATCACTTGTGTCATGTGATATCTGAGTTCTTGAGAGTTTAGGCTTTTGAATAACTGAGGACTGGATTTTGGTAATCCTATAGAATTTTGCTTTTTAAAATGCTGTATTGTTCCTCCAAAGGGAGAAGTACAAAGGGTACAAGAAAATCTGAGGAAAACTCTTTGGTAAATATTTCAAATACCAGCCTTGGTATTTACTTTCCTCTAAAATGGTTTGCACACATCCTGCTGTGCCTTCCAGCATTATGTGAATTTCTCCTCCAGTTGCCTCTGTCTTCTACACAAACTGCAACAACAGGAGGGAACGTTACTTTCCCTACAAAAGTGCTGATTTTTAATTTTCTGTTTATGACATTAGTGGCTCCCCTATTGAGAAGAAATATGGATGCCATGACACACACTGAGCTATGTCATTAAACATTTTCCACTCTGCCACACCTCCATCCTGCTGGCTTTGGTAGCCCAGCAGTATAATCATGTAATAAAACTATACTCAATATTTTATGAGCTTCAGAAGCATATAATAAACTCTTAAGTGCTATTGATATACGTAATGCCAAGCAATCAGTACAGATCAAAGAATCAGCTAGTTTAGCAGGATGAGATCCAATTTGAGCTGCTGTCATTGAGGAAGGGTCATGTTTAGTGGTTTAATATCAAGAGTATTACAGTAATTGACTCTTCTGTTGAGTACAGTGCAGATGTTAACACTACATTGCAGTAGAGTAACATATTTAATAAGTAAATGACACAACCTCAATCTTGGCTTAAAGGACAGTAGCTGAATTTGCTGCAAGGCCGACATATAACATGAACACTATAGACTCTATGTCCATAATACATAAACCTTATGACTGTTAATAATTAATTAAACTGAAGAATTATTGTCTTCTACAACCCATCCTTCCTAAACCTTAACTGAACTATGTTGTCTGGTTAGAAAAAAAAAGTTAAAATAAAATTAACAAGTATATAATTAAATTTTAAAAAGCAGGACAAGCATCATATGAGAAGTAATTTTTTAATGTGTTATGAAAGGTAGATTGAATGTTCACATTCAGTTGGAGAGATCCAAAAGTCTTCATGGAGAAGTTGTCACCTAAGACAAGTTTTAGAAGATGACTAAGACTTTAAATAGCAGACATCATGCATAAAAGTAAGAAAATATTAACGTGAGTAAGATGGAGAATAACATGACTAAATAAGAAAAATATGGGGGACATCCAACAAGTAGGTTTGATCTATGTGACTGGAGCATAGGGTAATTAAGAGCAGAAGGTAAACTAAAAATGGGTCTGGAATTGGTAGGTGCAGCAAACACTATGGCGCATATATACCTGTGTAACAAACCTGCATGTTCTGCACATGTATCCCAGAAGGTAAATTTAAATTTAAAAAAAAAAAACTAACTACGACCCCCGCAAAAAAAAAAAAAAAAAAAAAAATTGGTCTGAAGCCAGATACTGAAAGACCCGACATATCAAGTTAAGAGTATCTACCAAAGTTGTTAGGCAATAAGAAGCTACTGAGGGAATCAAACTATGTTGACTGTGTTTTCCGCAATTTTTCTGGATTGAGAATAAGCTGTCACATATAAAAACTAACTCTTACTCTTTTTTCTTGATGCTTTTTTCTATGTCTATTTTTAAATCTAGGTTCCCAATATTAATCCTTGTATTTCACTCTCCTCTGCCACATAAACACACAGACACACGTACGAATGATCATGTGTCCACACAACCTGGCAAACTCCTTTCCAAGCTGACCTACTGCTTGTTGTTTTATTATTGCCTATGTGTATTTTTTTTCTACCATGAAAATATACGCAATAGTTTTAGATTAAAATTATGATGATTTCTGGTCAATTTTTTGAGAAGCCCAACTTCCATTCACTACATTTTTTTCTTTTGCTGTTTACATCACAGAGGCTAAAAAAAAGAAAAAAATAAATACTCACTCTGTCAGATTTTCTTGCAATGGAGACCTGTCCTGTGATAGATATCTTGGTACAGGAACACAAATCTTTTTTGGTGGCTTCTGGGAAAGCTCTTGCCCAGGCACAAGGGTTGAATTAGTATCATTAGCACCACTTCCTTCCTCTGTCCTCTTCCTGAAATGTGAACATGATGCTTGTAACTGAGGATAGTGGGGAGACCAAGGGGATTTCAGAAATGTTGGTTTTGATATCTTTGAGCTATTGAACTAATACTAACAGACTATCTACATATATCTAATTATATGAGAAAAGTAAACCTCAAGTTGCTTAATCCAATGTTAGTATACTTGCTGCCAAAACAATGTTCCTATTATACGATGTTTATTTACTTTACATAAATCTTGACTTTACGTAAATCTATAGAGTGTGTTTAAGTCAAATAACTTATTTGCTACAGTCCACATATGCCGAGTCTCACTTTTTTCATTTATAAAATGAGGAAAATATCACCTACTAAGAAGAATTATCAGAACTAAGGGCAATAAAACATCTAATACAGGATTTAAAAAGACATCTAGCACAAGGCCTGGCCCAGAACAGTCAACAAATAAATACATTAAAATAAATGAATAGATGAATGAATAAGACATTTATACCTCTGAGAAGCTCATTTGAATGGTATTAAATTTTTATTGGGTTGATTGCTTAGATGTATCTTTGAACAATCTTCTTGGTGATCTTTTCTTGCTATTAGAAGAAAGTTGAACTTCAAAGAATATTTGCAACCAGTCCAAATATAGATTTGGAGGTCAGTATTATGTCTACAGTTAAGGTAAATGATTGAGACAGCATTTTGGGTTTGGTGTCTCTACCTTGAAGCAGAACTTGATACTAAATCAATCTTGGTGATCAATAGGTGACAAATATCATATTCAAATTTAATGCTGGTGTGATTTCACATCACATCAGCTTGCTAATGTGGTTGGAAGCTTGCTAATGAAATCTTTTGACTTCTATGACCCAAGATTATATTCCTTCTTTATTTGTGAATGGCTTAAACACTTACTATACAGATAGTTGGATATACTAAAAGCTCTCAACATTATATAGGAACTACAGAATACTGTTTGTTAAGGACTCTTGCTATATTATGATTCCACTCAATACTATTGACCTTTAGCATGATGTTGACTGATACTAAAAAATATTTATTAATTTAGTGCTTAAACAGCAAAGAAGCAGCCATTGTATGAAGAGGAGTACTCACATTTAGTCACTGTCAAATCAATATCACACTCAAGAATTTGATACATGAGCAGAAGATAATATCTAGCTCCTAGATGAAGAGGGGGCATAGCAAACAAAGTCAGATCAAAAGAGGTTGAAGAGTATGTAGGTTGAAGCTGGCAGCTTGGGGACTGATCTTATCAATCTTCAGCATCTTCTTGTAAGATTAATCTATGACAATTGGATTTGTATACAGATTCTTACAAAACTTTATTTAGAATTTTTGAAACTGATTTTGTTTTCAATCACAAAAGTTGGCTACAAGGTCTTGTATTTAATTACATCAAAATATTTTCCTTTATAAATGATTCCTACCCAGAACTCCTGCTGAACATGTAGAAAGTCAGAAGAAATTTTACAGAGGGCTCTTTACTGGGGCTCACTCCCAGAATCTAGGTTGAACCTTTAAAACAATAAACATGACCTCATTGGTCACAATGTCACAAGTGAAAGAATCATGGACTTCAAAAAGCTCCAGTAAAACTTTTTGCTTTCGAAGTTGAATAAAGGACAAGTAGAAATATGCTCAGCATTTAGACAATTTCATATTCAAAAAGAAAAATTTTCCATTCGGAGCATTTTTCAAGGTCTTCATATCAATGATGTGAATGTATTGTTTACTCCCTTTATTATTTCAGTGGATTGTAATGTGGACACTTTCTTCACACATCAACATAGGAGAGAGCAAGGGTGGGAACTTTTGAACAGAAATAATGGATGTGGTTTTAGATTTAAAAAATTTTTCTCCAGTAAAAGTGAAATTTTTCCTAAATTTCCAAAAAATATTTTTTTATTAAACAATAAACAAGTATTTCAAACCATACTGAAGATAGTGGCTTTTCATGTCAAAATTTGCTAGATAAATTAAGATAGAGCTAGGCACAGTGTCTCACTCCTGTAATCTCAACAGTTTGGGAGGCCGAGATGGGTGGATCACTGGAGGTCAGGAGTTTGAGACCAGCCTGACTAAATGGTGAAACTCCGTCTCTACTACAAATACAAAAATTAGCCAGGAGCGGTGTCACAGGCCTATAATCCTAGCTACTCAGGAGGCTAAGGCAGGAGAATCATTTGAACCCAGGAAGCAGAGGTTGTGGTGAGCTGAGATTGTGCCATTGCACTCCAGCCTGGGCAACAAGAGCAAAACTCCATCTCAAAAAGAAAATAAAAATAAATAAAAAATAAAAACAAAAAATAAAAAATAAAGATAGAATAAGCTAATCACAATGGCAATACCCCTGGTGTATGTCTTCACAGTCAAGGAGCACTTTGCTAACACTAAGAAGGGGATGAAAAAAAAAAAAAGCACATTTGTGTTTATGGAAACTTAACATAAAGGTAATTAAGGTAAGGATTGAGATTATATCATTCTGAATTAGAGGTGGGCCCTAAATTCAATGAGAGAAGCCACAGAAGTGACAGAAAAAGTTACACAGAGACAAAAAATGGAGGTCACGTGAAGACAGTTGCAGAGACTGAAATTATGCCAGCAACAAGCCGAGAAATGCCAGGAGCCACTGGAAGCAGAAAGAGGCAAAAAACCACCTACTAGAGCTTTTGGAAAGAGTATCACCCTTCTAACATCTTGATTTTGGACTTCTGACCTTCAGAACTATTAAAGAATAAATTTCTGTTGTTTTAAGTCATCAACTTTGTGGTCGATTGTTGCAGAAGCTCTAGGAAGTAAATATAAGTATGTTCCATCCTCTGAGACTTCTTATGCTTTGAAAGCTACAAAGTTCAGATACTCATTTTTCCAACATTCCTCACAGACAGGGCTCAGGCCAAAGGTCTAGGTTCTGTCACAGATTTAGTTATCTATTGCTAAATACCAGTAGCCACACTCATGGTGGCTTAAAAAACACACACTTTTAATTTCATAATTTCTGAGGGTCAGCAGTCTGAGCAGCACTTAACCGGTAGATGCTCTGTCTTGGGGTCTCGTAACACCTCAAATTGTCATCCAGGGTTGTAATCTCATCTGAGGCTCAGCTGAGGTAGGTTCTGTTTCCATGTTTATGTGGTTATTGGCAGCATTCAATTCCCTAAGGATTCTGGACTGGGGGCTTCAGTTGTTGCTGGCTGTCATCTGATGCTACCCTCAGTTTCTTGCCAGGTGGTCCTTTTCAGCATGGCTGCCTGTTTCCCCAAAGTCAGTAAGGAAAAGGGTCTCTTTGGAAAAGGAGTATTACAATCTTATGTAACATAATCGCATACATTCCAATCACTGTTTTCTATTACTTACAAGCAAGTCTCAGGCTCTGCCCACACCCAAGGGGAGGGGATTACACAAAGGCCCTAGGAGGTAGGTATTGTAGGAGCCACCTTAGAGTCTGTCCACACAGTAAGTTGGACCCATCTGTACTTTAAATGGGGAAATGGTGACATAGAGAATTAGGAAGAGTGAGGAATCCATTCTGGAGTCACTAGCGATGGTGGCAGCAGTATTCTGCTCCCAGGACAGTGGTCTCCAGGGCCCAATAACTGCATTTTACTGGCAAAATACCAGTACTAGTAGGGGGTGCTACTGAGACTTGAGTTCATGGGGAGGAGCTGCTGTCATCAAATTAGTTCTAAAGCATGATTTTGGCTACGGTTTTGGCTACAAAACCTCTCTTGCTTCTACTCATTTTATTCGTCTGTTTCTTAACCTTCCCTGTGATTTTGTGAGCTACCTGAAAACTTTCTAATATATTCATTTTATGCTTTAATCAACTACACTTGATTCCTATTGTGTGTAATCAAGAACCCTCACTGATACACTTAGTAAACTAAAGATTGCTTTCTAGGATTCCAGTCTGCCTACCTACACCTCTCCTGCCTTTCCTTACTATAAACAATAGAGACTACGATCATTAAACTTGGATGTAAACATAATCTTGTTTCTCTCTAGAAGAGCCTCCCTGACTCCTCAATTAGGTTAAGTATTCCAGCTATATGTTTCTATAGCATTTCCCCTTCGTAACAGTTATTACGCTTGACTGTCATTATTTTTCAAATAAAGTATTCCCAAGTAAACTCAAAGTCTCCTTTCTCCACAGCCTTCATTAACCTCTAAATCAGTGCTGTTAGATAAATAGAGTTTAAGTGCTAAAATAATAAATGTATAAGTGAAATTTTATTACTATGTTCTCTATAGTCCCAGTCCCACCTAGTAATCAATTGTGTCTAACATTGGATAGCTCTATTTGTCAAAAGTGTAGAGTTAACCTTTGCTGTCATTATTTTGAATTTTTATTCTGAAAATACTTGTTGCATAATTCATTCATGATAAGAATTCACATTTCCTCAATTCAGTGTCAGAAAGCAGAAGTATTATTTCATCTTTTGGTCTACCTAGATTCCTTATACTATGTTCCAAAACTTTATGATATTTATACAATAGCAGATTAAATTCTTACTGGATGTTTGCAACCAAGTTTATCTGTTTTATTGCCATATATTCACTACACTTTCAATATTCTTTTTTTCTTCCCTTCACATATTCTTTGCTGATCTACTATATCACCATGTTCTCTCAGCATAGCTTTGTTTATATCTTTCCTTTCATTCCAGTGCTCACTTCCTCCTTCTACAAATATTGAAATGCTACTCATCCAACAAAAATATAATGCTTTCTGCTACCATTTCCCTGCCAAGCCCAAAGTGACATTTTCCTACTTCAAACTCTCACACTTATTATTTTATAACTTCTGTAATAATTATGTATGTCTTATCTCTTTTAGTACAATATAAGTTGCTTGAGTATAATGTATGACTGATTCATCTTTATATTCTCTGATTACTTTATATATACCAGGCATGCTGTAAATACCTGACTGATCTTACAGTGAGGAGAATATAGGATGGAATGGATATAAGAGCAATCCCATTAAAGACTACCTGTGGCTATTAGTCACCTTCCAAACAAAAGATGCTGAGTTCTCTAAATTGCTTTATGTGAGATGTAACACAAAACCACATGTGAGTATAACCTAAAAGAATTGTGTAATCCAAATAATGCCATGCATAAAAACCTTGTAGAATTAATCACCTCCCTCAGTTTCTGTAGTATTCATTAATGGTACTGTGTGCCAAACATTTTTGGATTTATTCCATCTATCTTCCAGGCACAGGCACAATTTGGGATTGTGTGGAGTTTTGTGACTTGTTCAATGAGTGTGAGTGAGAGTGACATCTGCCAATCCAAAGCCATAGAATTTAATAGCCTAATGAGATTTTAAGAGACCTTCTTTCACTTGGGCATGGTGACTTACTGCATTTGAGATGATGCCACCCCACATTCTGGGTCCCTGACACACTATGATGAAGAGAGCTTTTTGCTAACCTAAAATGGACATTTAGCATGAATGAGAAATAAAACTGTGGATTGTAAGTGACTGAGAATCAAAGTTATTTGTTACAATAATGTAAGCCTACTTATTCTAACTGATGATACGTTTATTTTCTTTACCATCCAGGAAGCCTGGAGATGTTTAATAGTATAGTATGCTTATGATTTTTAATTTCTCACTATTCTTTGCTTCACATTTCCTGTCACCAACTGTTTAGAACATCAGCCATAATTTATGCACATGCAAAAGGAAGTTAAAATTATTGATGGGAAAAATTAGCTGTTATGAATTGGATATGGAGAATGATTTATTCAATAAAAATATAGAAATATAATAGAATAAATTCTTTTAGAAAAGAAGTAAAGGATTAAACTTTAAATGTAGAACGTCATTAATATTATACTACTCTCAAATTCCTATGGACTTTTGTTGTTTATTTTGAGAATTATCTATAAAACAAAGACAAGATGATGAATGCAACGGATAAAATGTGTGGGTTTTAGGCTATGATTATAAAGGTAACTTTTTCTATGGTAAAAATCTGAATTTTTATTAGATGAGCATGTTCATAGAGAAAATTTATATTAATATACAAATATATTATTATACCTTTTAAAGAAGAGTGTTACATTTGTCATATGTTACCCCAAATTTTAATGAATTATTTTTCTTTTATAGAAGATCTAAATTTTAGAGATAAGTTACTTGCCATAGGACACAATTGCAAGCAATAAAAGTTTAAAAAATAATATGATCTGCACACTTACTCTTGGAGTTAACCATTTTAACCATCTGATGGCCAAGAAGCAATTTTAGCATAATAAGCTTTTTCTATAGAAGATTACAGTAGAAATTCTAGCCTAGAGGATCCTTAATTATGATGAATTAAGAATTCAAAATACTTAATTATGATGTTATTTTAGCTCACTATGACTTTTGAGGTGTTAGGAAACTTCTTTATGTGTCTAAGAAGGACCATTTATGACAATGGTAAAGTATGGAGAGGCCAGTAAACAAGGGAGCCATCACAGTCTTATGGGAGCCATGAGGAAGGATAGAGTAAGGTCTTACCTTGGAACATGCAAGGGCAAGAGCAGTTGAGGCGAAAGAGTGAAACTTTTCATAACTATTGTTATTTTCTAGGCATACAGGGCTCAAGATAAAGTTTATCATCATCAGTCCCAAATCCAAGTCTCAGTCAGGACACAGAAATCACTCTAAGTATTTTTTAACAAAGAGAGATTTCACATAGGGGATTAATTGCTTACAAAATCTTTGAGAGAACTAAAGATGCAAAGGTCAGGGATAACTTCTGCTATCTTTTAGGTTCACCACTACAGGAATAGTGTGGAAAACCAGGTGGTAATAAGGGTCTGCCAACCAAGACAAGGAACTCCAGAAAACTATTATTGATGATCACAGCAAAACCTCTGCAGAAATTTCACATCTGCTGAAGCCCATGGCATTTGCCTAGTACTGCCAAAGGAAAAAATAATGTCTTCTGGTCTCCATTCCACCTTCAAAATCATGCTCCAGTGCACCTTGTTGTTAGAACATAAATTGTATTCTATTCCACAGAGTCAAGAGAATCTAGAGAATTTGATTTCTAAATTCCCAGCTCCTTCAAAACAGAAGAAACCTTAGAAGGGTTTTGCTGCTTGCAAAATGAAATTAAACCTGCACACTTATTTCTGTTCTCTTAATAAAGACTTTGAAGAGATTAATTCATGATACCTGCAATGTTTCTCAGATTTCCTTGGACAATCTCAAATCATTCATACCTGTGCCTCTCCCTCACTTTTCAGTTGCCCTGCTCCCAAACACCTTCACTCTCATCCACTTTTTTTTCTCTTTGTCCTACTCCCTTCCCTTCATTCCTTTATGCTACTCAACTTAAAAATGAAAAGCAAACAAATGAACAACAACAACAACAAAAACATTGAACAAGCTTTGGATTTCCCACTGGATGTAAGCTTCAGGCTTTTAAGAAATTGTATGAAAATTTCCTAAGCCCACTCAATGTGTTTGTCTTGTCTTTTAAGTTCTTAGGTGTTTATGAGATCCTGGTCACTATGTATATCTAATCAAAACTGACTTTTTTTAATATAGGACCTAGTTCCTTTCTTTTGTTTACTCATAACAGCACTCTTGAAAGTCACTATCAGCGCAAAACGTTTGGCCTGACTGGGTGAGGGATACGTAACAACATCATATGGCAAAGATAAGATTAGATATTCAACACTTCTTTTTATTTGGCCACCCATACCACTGAGAACTTCTTTCTCTTGTCCTTCTCTTCCCCTGTTTTCACCTTCCTTTCTTCCCAACTCCTAATCACTCTTCGTTTCTTATGCAGAACGTAAGTTTCATATCTCCTTTTAGTTTCATGATCTCCTTTTACACTACAGTAGGTGCAGGGAGATAAGGAGCATCTCACTTTCCCTTCCCAAGGAGACCTATGAAGAAGTATTTTATTAAATGAAAAATCATCTACTCTGAACAGCAGTTATGTCATTTTCATAGGGACAGAAGTAGTGGCCAATATTGTTATTCTAAATGGAGCAATTTATTTTGTACTATGCTATTCAAAGAAAGACCAGTGCTTTCATTCTCAGTTCTTAACCTCATAAAAAGGTGAACTGTATAATTAGTACAGAAGCAAGCTGAAAACCAGAATGCACAGAGAAACAGACTATTGTTATTACTAGTTTGATAATCTGGCATAGAACCCAGAGTAACACAGGCTTCCTTAGTGAAGGCTTCAGTGATGTTTGAATGAGTAGAGGAATTGCAATCCTCCCTTCCTGAGCCATGTTTGAATTATTTCTATGGAGAAATGGTGGGTGAAGTGGATAAGGGTGCAGAGCCTGGACTCAGCCTGCCTGAATTTGAATCTTTTCACTGGTACTTAATTGTCATGCAATCTAGAAAATCTGGATGTAGGACAACTTCGCTAACATTTCTAAGACTCTGTTTCATGGAAAAGAAATGAAACACAGACAAAAATATTCCCTCCCTCATAGCTGTTGAAAGGATTAAATAAGGAGATATGTGTAAAGCATTCAACAACACACACAGATATGTGCATTAATGCACACATGCTTTTATAAAACGCAAGTTACCAAAACAAAAAAACTCATTGTCATTCCAGGCTCCTTTCTCCGCTCAGCCTCCATATCCAGTTGTTCACAGCATTTAGCCAATTATACCTTTTAAATACCTTCCAAATCTTTTTCCTCCCTACTTTAGTTTAAACCCTCAAAAACATCTCCTGCCTATACTGTGGCAATCATATCTTAACTCATTTTTATTATTATGGTTGTGTCATACCTCCACCCACCCCACATTCCCATTGATTACTTACACCACAGCCAGTGTTCTTCCTGTACAGAAAATGTGATGTCTAACTCTAATTTAAATGCCTTCACTGTTTCTGAAATACCTACAGAGTAAACTTTAATCTATATATTTTAGTAAATATGAACCTTATCATCCAAATTTGCCAACATCTACAACAGTGAGCATCAAACTGCAGAGTGTATCACACTTTCCAGGGATATTGCAAAAAAATGCAAATTTTAGATCCTTACTCCATGAACAGCCTCATACGCTAAGTCTCAATTAAGACCATCAGTCTGAATTTTATCACTTAATCCAGGAAAGTCTGAAGCAAGATTCCTGTGGTCATCCCATAAGACCTGTGGCTTCACCCTGTAGCCACATAGTCACCCATTTCTTCACTACACCCACTCTCTGTCTGCCCTATACAACCAGTGGGTCTTCAAATACAATATAGTTTAAATGTCTTCATGCCTTTACTACTATTTCTACTTCTTGGAAAGTCCCCCCACCCATTCTGTCTAGCTAATTCTCATTCATCTTTCAGCATTTCATTCAAGGTCACTTCTATGCGAGGATATCCCTAGTCCACTCATGGGGCTGTCTATCTTCTCCTGCATTTCAGTAAGCTCTTGTACTAACCTCTACTTGTGCTTGTTGCATTGGGTTACAAGCGAATTTTAAATGTTATTCCTCCCTACAAGACTATGAAATTATGGCATGCAGGGAAAACTTCCTACTTATTTCTGTGTTGCCATTATTCAGTACCTGGCACATGCTAGGTGCCCCACAAATAAATATTTGTTAACTGAATGAATAAACTAATAAATATTAGAAAGTCACTTACTTGGGATTATTTAAAAATTGAGGTCACCTCCACATGACAAGATATTTCTTCCACAAGCTTTCTGCTCTTATTCAAACAACCATCATTGGATACCATCTCAAATCTTTACAAGACTAAGAGCTAAATGTTATTAACTTTATACTTAAAACATCTGACAAAATTGAAGGCTGTTTTCTATTTATTTGATTAGTTGGTTTAACTGAATAAGAAATTACAAGACCCTGATGAGATAGAACGTGGAAAGGTGTTTTACTTTTCCTTTATTCCCTTTTAAATACGATGGCTGGAATAACCCAGGTGTCACCTGAAATGTTGATGACTTTGCCTGAAAGTGGAATTCTCTAACCATCTGCAGCTGGTGCAATTCAGTTGACTGTGGGAGTGGATGATCTATAGGTTTACTTGACACTTGTAACCAAGCTCTGTCGGCACAATAGAGTGACCATTTAAACAACGGCTAGCATTCTTTCCAACTTTTTACATTTTCACTGAAAGGAGATATTAAAGACTAAGAGTGTTGAACTTTACCTGAGTTTTGTGCTCCTAGAAAACAGCAATGATTAAGAAATCCTTGTATCCTTTTGTATTTTAGGAAATTGCTTATTACAAAGAACCATCCTTTCTCATGTGATTTATGTAAGACTCCCAGATGACCTCCTTGTTTTTCTATGACAAAGCCAGATGCAGATCCTCCAAATGTTCATTATTTGTCTTCTAAATGATTAGCTAAAGTTTTTACCCCCACTCACCAATCTGGAAAAAATGCCTGCTAATTTGACTTGCCATAACTGTCTACAGGCTTCTCTGCTTTCTTAGGCTTCTGAATTGGGCCCGCCCTGGAGCTTAATAAGCAAGCACTGAGAGCTTATTTATGCATTAGAACATGGAAAAACTCCATTTAAAACCCCTTCTCAAGATTCAGCTGGTTGTCAGAATGACACATCTGCTCAGCTATCCACTCATGCCCACCTGCTTATCCAGCTTCCCATACTCATGCACCAAGGCATCAGGGTAGATAAAGAGGTAAGTCATGATTTTCTTCTTGTCAAAAGGCACTGGTCTGCAATAATTTCTACTTTAGAATCATCATAGAATAGTCTTTATGACAATTTATTAAGTGCAGAGGGATGAGAAGAGTAAAAAAGCGCTGATCATACACTGAGTAGGGTTGCTCCTAGGGGCTAAAGAATGTGCTAGGATTTTACTTCTCAATGAAATTGGAGGAAACCAGAATTAAAAGGTAACTAATAATGTATTTCTTAAATAAGGTAACCATGGATCAAGTTTGAGATTTAGTTATGGGAACCACTAAACACCCAAAAGTAGATTACCAATTATCAGACTTTTCTTAATTTTAATAGGTAGAAGCACAAGGCATTAGGCACTTCAATTTCTGGGCATATTACCCTAGGAATTGCAGAGAGAAAAATGCAGAAAATTATAGAGGAGAATTGTCTAATACAAATGTCACACTGGCTTTTAAAAAATTGATTTACTTACCTTCAGTTGGGTCCTGAAATACAGCTGTAGGCGCTGAAAGATTTTTGTGAGAAGGGTAAAATCTTAGGCAGCTCTACTTAGCATGATTGATTGTTTTTTTTCTCAATTGCATGATTCTCAATTAGAGTTCTTTATCCAGGGTATTTGTTAATTGAGATATCACTGTACAAGGCAGCATGGCATGCAGTGTATTTATTTTAAAAATGGCATTGTTCTTTGGCTTGAAATTCTACTACATAATACCAGAATGTTTAGGTTTTGTAAGTTTACAAATCGAATGTTTTATTATGTCCCAATTCTAAGCATGTTATAGAAATCATTATCTTTTGCCTGCATAGTCTAATCACATTGCTAAGAAATATAGATGTGATTAGAAACACTTTGATATTCAATGTAACACAATGACTTTGAAAAGTGATATTTATGGCTGATAATATGTATGCTTCATTATTCTCTATCTGAGCTATCATTGTCTTAAAGAATGGAGATAGCTATCCTTATAGTAATAAGGATAGAATATTCAATAAAAATTAACAATAAAACAAGAAAATAACACTTCCCAAATTCCACCATTACAACAGTGGATGACTTATAAAAAATAAGAATATCAAGAGAAGGTAATAGAAAACTGTTAGCAATTAAAATTTAATTATAAAAAGGCTAGTAGTACTAGGGTAGGGGTAGAAATACTGAAAAGCCATCATCTGGCACATATGATTAATCATGCAGCATTTTACCAAGCACTCATCACTTAATCAAAAACAGAACAGTTACTTTTACACAACTATTAATATTAGAATAGCTCCAAATTCATATTAAGAGGGATTCACAACTGCTAGGTAGAATAGTACTCCTGTTCTGCATTATGCTATTTTTATTTGGAAAGTGTTTTCTCTTAATTACATTGGCTATCCACCTATATCTTCCTATTTAGGAAGATTATTTTTCTTTTAAGACAAGAGTTTCTATGAAATTTTCTGGACCTAATGCACTGAAATCAAATTTGACTATTTCCAGTATAGACTACTCCTCCTCACAGAATCTTAGTCAACTTCAGTTCTTCTACCCACTTCCTCGACTCTCTTTTTAAAATTCTATTTATAAAATATGGCCATGGAAGAAACAACACCATGTTTCAAAACATATTGCTGATCTTATAGGACACCACCCCAACCTCACAAGGTGTTGCCTCCGACATGACACTGTAGTCAATTAATGGGCCATTTCTACATCTGATAAGGCCAGCTGCAACATGGTAATTGAGAAACAATGAATCCTATAGTTTTAAGCCATTGCTATGCTTCTTTTTCTGTAAAATTAGTTATTTTGTCAGGAGCAATGTTTTTTAGCGTATTATACTGTAAATCAGACATTTTATGAGTCCACATATGGAAGCATTGCAAGTATGGAAGCCATATTCGTATCAAGAAAAAGTGTCTGACCAGTTAGGATTAACCACTACTCACTTCATGAGAGAGAGGCTCTGATGTAATTATTCTGCTACCAGTGCCTTGGTGGTGGAGCACATACATAGTCTTCAACCTCTGATGCCACATCCACCTGGCCATTGAGCAAGTACCATGTGTTAGGTTTCCTAGGGCTGCCATAACAAATTATCCCAAACTGAGTAGCTTAAATCAACATAGTTTTCCTTTTATAGTTATGGAGGCCAGAAGTCTGAAATCATGGTGTTGGTATGGTTGGTTCCTACTGGAGGGCCTTAAGGAAAAGTCTGTTCCACCCCTCATCCCTGGATTTTGGAGACTGCCAGAAACCCTTGGCACTCCTTGGCATAACTTCAATCTTTGCCTCCATCTTAAATGACCTTCTTCCCCGTGTGAATTCGTATCACAAATCTCCCTCTTCTTTCTCTTTAAAGTATACAAATTATTGAAATTAGAGACCACCACTAAATGTAGGATGATATTATCTAGACCTTCTTAAATTAATTGCATCTACAAAGACTCTATTTCCAATTAAAGTTATATTTACATGTACCAGGTCCTAGGATTCAGTAATAACTTTTTGTAAGACATAATTCCATTCTATACAGCAGTTGAAGAAAAGTGATTGACTGAACCTGACTGACTACAACCAAAAGGTTTTTCTTTTCTCCCTGAATATTGAGATATTTTTCTGCTCTGAACACCCTTTGTTATTCACATGAGGCACAAATATCATCATAATCTGTGCCTGTCTTAACATGACCACCCATATACCTCATCTGTACATCTTTTTAATAACAATTCACCAACCTTTTTCTCTCCAAGTTCTGACCATTTGGCCAAACCATTAGCCATGCTCCATGAATCAATGTAAATACATTCAGTGTAGATCCATTCATTGTAGATTCATCATCTCTCAATTAAAGTGTCAGTAAGATGTACTGCTTTAATTTCTGATGTACTTTCTTTAATCCCTTTGAGAGAATTCCTTACTCTTTATCTTTCAGGAATTTCCTTAAGTAGAACTTTAATGTTGCAATAGTTCTCTTCTGGCTAGTGCCAGCATATTGTGGAGAATGATTAGTAAGCCCAGACCAATATTTTTCTCTTTCACTCAACTAGATGTAAGAAACTTTCTGTGATAGGGGTTGGTACACTATGGTCCATGGGCCAAATCTAGCCCTCTGCCTGTTTTTATAAATAAAGTTTTAGGAAACCACAGTCATATTCATTTGTTTACATATTGTCTATGACTGCTTACACACTATAATGGCAAAATTGAATAGGTATGATCAAGACCATAAGTCCACAAGCCTAAAATATTTATTTATCTAGCCCTTTACAGAAAAAGTTTGCAAACTTGTTCTATGAAGTCTTAGAAGTCGGTTGAAAGAAAGTAAACGATATAGTTTTCATAGTAGTCCAAGATCACATTCCATTATGCCTTCAAAACCTATTCATGGCCAATTTTGTATATCTACTTCCACTTAGTGATGATATACTGGTATACTCACTGAGCTGATGGGTCAGATAAGTCCCATCTTGATCATTTGGACCAAGTGGAGAGAAGCTTGCATTGCATAACAGATCTGTTGCAAATTTTATCTTGCTTAGGCACCTCTTAAAACTATTAAGCTTACGGGTTATTTAGTAATTGGATAAGAGAAGCTCCCATCAATAGAGTATATGTTGTTTGTAAAACATTATGCCTTTTTGTTAGTGGTAGATTGTACCACTAAGAATGAAATTCTTTTTCCAATTTGTTCATGTCTCAGATTACTATATTAAAACAAACTTTACTAAATTCCCAGAATTTTCACAAATATGTCTTCCACACTGGGAATTTTGTGTTTTGCCAAGTCATTTAAGACATTTCTTGCAATGAAGTCTAAATTAGGAGAATGTTGTCAATGCAGGGGACCAGTGGGTGTTTTTGTAAAGGCAAAATGGTCAACATGCGCATGATATAGATCATGACAAAGAGTCAAAGAGCTGACATATGTCTGAGACAACACTCTGAGGCATACAGTTGTCACTGTCAGATGATATCAAACTCTTTCTTCTAGTCATCACTAAACAGTGTTAGAAGAGCATTTTTCAGCCCAATAACTGTACCACATGCCAGTGGCTGTGTTGATTTGCTCCAATTAAGAGCTCAATCTGGAACAGAAGCTGCAATTGGAGTAAACACCTGGTTAGGTTTAGGATAATGCAGTCATTCTCCAGGACCCATAGAACTTTTTAATAAGTCAAAAAGTAAATTAACTGAAGATGTTACAGGAATCACTACCTTGCATCTTTCAAATCTCTGATAGTGGCACTACTTCCTGAAATGACCCCAGAGATGCAGTATTACATTTGATTTTCTATTTTGGTAGGTATTGACATTTCAGTAGCTTCTACTTGGTCTTTCATAATAATAAACCTCACTGAACAGGTCAGGAAGCCAATGTGGGGATTTTACAGGTTGCCAAAAATGTCTATTTCAACCGTACTTTCAGGAACTGATTGTCTGCATAATCACTGGGGCTATCTTTGAGAAGGTCTTAGGCCCAAATTCAGTTTAACACCTGACCTCTATAAGCCCCTGTTTGGACTATTGAACCACTGTGTTATTTTAGGTCTCTGGGGATTAATGTCACATCAGAGCCCTTGTTTAGTAATCCTCAAAAGGTCTAGGTGTTTCCCTCTATTTCTTCAATTTCTTTAGCAAAGATGAAGATTTACAGTATTACTTGTGACAGTATTTCAAAGCAATTTGATTTTCCCTTCAATAAAGTGGCTCTGGATCTGTGTTATTTTAGGTATTGAGACTAGATAAAAACCACTGTGACAACTCAAGTCAGAGTTCTGAGCACCAGAGCTAAAGTTTTATTTTGATGTTATTTAGATCAAGTAATATTTCAGTAGGCTCTTGAGACCTTTCCTTCCTAGGAACACCATGCTTTCTTAGCCACTACCAAAACTCCTTGCAGGTGAAACATTGTAATTGCTCTCTGGTTTTGCTGCCATTTTGTTAACTATACCCCAGTTTGTATATGTGTTTTAAGTACTATCAACAGGCCTCTTCTATTCTAGGATCCTATTATCCAAATATGGATACATTCTAAGGTTCTGGGGTTGGGGCTTCAATATATAAATTTGGGCAGGAAGGACAGAATTCAGACAATAAGTGTCAGGTAAGTGTAGCCATATCAATAAATTCATCTCAGTGTAAGGTGATTTCATCCTCCTTGTTCTGGTACAATCCTATGTAAGTTTCTTAGTCTTTGCTGATACAAATTGTCAAAATCTTGCAAAATTTTTAGTGGCTAGATTATCTCCTCAATGCTGAGACTTTATATTTGTTGTGCTGGGACTATCTGAGGTATCTGATGCTAATTAAATGGAAATGAAGGCTAGTGGGATGACAATTGAGGAAAATGGGCATCGTTAGATAAGGTCATTGATGCTCTTCAAGCAAGAGATGACTAATTTCCTCAAATAGAGAAGAAAGGGTTGCTCTTACAGTCAAGGGAGGCTCTGATTCTATGGGAGTTCAAAGTTCTCTAATCCATCAAATCCACCTGAATATAATTCTCATTCTCACGGTCTCACTCCTTTACAGTCATTGATTTAATATCAGAGACATCGAAAAGCTGAATTCAACTTATGTTGTAATTCTATAACCTACATAAAAGTCTTTGTATCCCCAGTGTAGTAGCTATTCAGCATCTCAAGAAGTCTTTCATCATTGACCCTGCTGAAGACAGTGGAATAAAAAAACACCAAAAGTCTGGCTACTCAAAGTCTAGATATCTTGGTCCTAGAGAGAGTATCACATTACACAGAAACCACTCAAGGTTTTTAAAGGAGGCAGAAATTTTTTTTTTTTTTTTTTTTTTTTTTTTTTGAGATGGAGTCTTGCTCTGTCACCCAGACTGGAGTGCAGTGGCGCAATCTCGGCTCACTAAAGGAGGCAGAAATGTAATCCAGGCTTCATTTTTAGGTTATTTTTCTGTTTCTGAAATAAGAGAGAGAATTCCAGAATTTTAGATTTAAAAAAAATGTTAGGAGGGCTAAAGGAACAAGAGTTTGTGCAAATCCTTGGATTTAAGAAACATGAGAAGTTATAATCATCACTCCATAGGAGTCCAAAGGTTCCCTCAGAGCTGATATTCCTCAAACTGCCAACTCTATTCTTTCGCAGGAGCTGAGTGGCTCTCACTCAGCATTGTCACTTCTGGAGCCATTATCTGCAACTGGCCTTGCTGGAGCTATTGTTGCTGCTACCTCCTAAGGCAGACTGGCTTCTACCTTCCCTCTGCCTGGTAATCTCAATTGAGTGATTCTCACAGTCTCTAGAAATATTCCTCCACAGCATTTATTTTTGTTGATTTGTTTTCCCAACAGGGTTTTTCTAACCTAGAGATACATTTAAGGAGGTAAAAGTCAAGAGAAGTTTCTAATACATCTGAACACAGACATCTGAGGTCTGTGGCCTCATGGCTCCTCCCTTTACTGGGATTCTGCCAGCTTCAACAACCAATGAAGCCCCTTCCTCACTGCTACTCTCGATTTACGTGACCATCCCTCTTCTGTCCATAATTTTGTTGGTAGATAGGTCAATGTTACTGATTAAACCACAGTCAAATCACTGATCCTAACAACCTAGTAGACCTTCTATATTCAAATATGAGTTATCTAGCTTTTTTATCTAACAAATAGTGATTTAAAAATAGTAACACCTTTTTGAAAGGTGATAGACCTCTAGCAAGACTAATAAAGAAGAAAAGAGAGAAGAATCAAATAGACGCAATAAAAAATGATAAAGGGGATATCACCACTGATCCCACAGAAATACAAACTACCATCAGAGAATACTATAAACACCTCTATGCAAATAAACTAGAAAATCTGGAAGAAATGGATAAATTCCTCGACACACGCACTGTCCCAAGACTAAACCAGGAAGAAGTTGAATCTCTGAATAGACCAATAACAGGCTCTGAAATTGAGGCAATAATTAATAGCTTACCAACAAAAAAAGTCCGGGACCAGACGGATTCACAGCCGAATTCTACCAGAGGTACAAGGAGGAGCTGGTACCATTCCTTCTGAAACTATTCCAATCAATAGAAAAAGAGGGAATCCTCCCTAACTCATTTTATGAGGCCAGCATCATCCTGATACCAAAGCCGGGCAGAGACACAACAAAAAAAGAGAATTTTAGACCAATTTCCCTGATGAAATCCTCAATAAAATACTGGCAAACCAAATCCAACAGTACATCAAAAAGCTTATCCACCATGATCAAGTGGGCTTCATCCCTGGGATGCAAGGCTGGTTCAACATACGCAAATCAATAAACGTAATCCAGCATATAAACAGAACCACAGACAAAAACCACGTGATTATCTCAATAGATGCAGAAAAGGCCTTTGACAAAATTCCACAGCCCTTCATGCTAAAAACTCTCAATAAATTAGGTATTGATGGGACGTATCTCAAAATAATAAGAGCTATTTATGACAAACCCACAGCCAATATCATACTGAATGGGCAAAAACTGGAAGCATTCCCTTTGAAAACTGGCACAAGACAGAGATGCCCTCTCTCACCACTCCTATTCAATGTAGTGTTGGAAGTTCTGGCCAGGGCAATCAGGCAGGAGAAAGAAATAAAGGGTATTCAATTAGGAAAAGAGGAAGTCAAATTTTCCCTGTTTGAAGATGACATGATTGTATATTTAGAAAGCCCCATCATCTCAGCCCAAAATCTCCTTAAGCTGATAAGCAACTTCAGCAAAGTCTCAGGATACAAAATCAATGTGCAAAATTCACAAGCATTCTTATACACCAATAACAGACAAACAGAGAGCCAAATCATGAGTGAACTCCCATTCACAATTGCTTCAAAGAGAATAAAATACCTAAGAATCCAACTTACAAGGGATGTGAAGGACCTCTTCAAGGAGAACTACAAACCACTGCTCAATGAAATAAAAGAGGGTATTAACAAATGGAAGAACATTCCATGCTAATGGATATGAATCAATATCATGAAAATGGCCATACTGCCCAAGGTAATTTATAGATTCAATGGCATCGCCATCAAGCTACCAATGACTTTCTTCACAGAATTGGAAAAAACTACTTTAAAGTTCACATGGAACCAAAAAAGAGTCTGCATTGCCAAGTCAATCCTAAGCCAAAAGAACAAAGCTGGAGGCATCATGCTACCTGACTTCAAACTATACTACAAGGCTACAGTAACCAAAACAGCATGGTACTGGTATGAAAACAGAGATATAGACAAATGGAACAGAACGGAGCCCTCGGAAATAATGCCACATATCTACAACTATCTGATTTTTGACGAACCTGACAAAAACAAGAAATGAGGAAAGGATTCCCTATTTAATCAATGGTGTTGGGAAAACTGGCTAGCCATATGTAGAAAACTGAAACTGGATCCCTTACTTACACCTTATACTAAAATTAATTCAAGATGGATTAAAGACTTAAATGTTAGACCTAAAGCCATAAAAACCCTAGAAGAAAACCTAGGCAATACCATTCAGGACACAGGCATGGGCAAGGACTTCATGTCTAAAACACCAAAAGCAATGGCAACAAAAGCAAAAATTGACAAATGGAATCTAACTAAACTAAAGAGCTTCTGCACAGCAAAGGAAACTACCATCAGAGTGAACAGTCAACCTACAGAATGGGAGAAAATTTTTGCAATCTACTCATCTGACAAAGGGCTAATATCCATAATCTACAATGAACTCAAACAAATTTACAAGAAAAAAACAAACAACCCCATCAAGAAGTTGGCAAAGGATATGAACAGATACTTCTCAAAAGAAAACATTTATGCAGCCAAAAGACACATGAAAAAATGCTCATTATCACTGGCCATCAGAGAAATGCAAATCAAAACCACAATGAGATACCATCTCACACCAGTTAGAATGGCGATCATTAAAAAGTCAGGAAACAACAGGTGCTGGAGAGGATGTGGAGAAATAGGAACACTTTTACACTGTTGGTGGGACTGTAAACTAGTTCAACCATTGTGGAAGTCAGTGTGGCGATTCCTCAGGGATCTAGAACTAGAAATACCATTTGACCCAGCCATCCCATTACTGGGTATATACCCAAAGGATTATAAATCATGCTGCTATAAAGACACATGCACACGTATGTTTATTGCAGCACTATTCACAATAGCAAAGACTTGGAACCAACCCAAATGTCCAACAATGATAGACTGGATTAAGAAAATGTGGCACATATACACCATGGAATACTATGAGGCCATAAAAAATGATGAGTTCATGCTCTTTGCAGGGACATGGATGAAGCTGGAAACCATCATTCTCAGCAAACTATCACAAGGACAAAAGCCAAACACCGCATGTTCTCACTCATAGGTGGGAATTCAGCAATGAGAACACATGGACACAGGAAGGGGAACATCACACTCCTGGGCCTGTTGTGGTGGTGGGAGGTGGGAGGGATAGCATTAGGAGATATACCTAATGTTAAATGACAACCTAATGGGTGCAGCACACCAGCATGGCAAATGTATACATATGTAACAAACATGCACATTGTGCACATGTACCCTAAAACTTAAAGTATAATTAAAAAATAAATAAAATAAATATAAATAAAATATTTATATTTTTATTTATAAATATTACATAAAAATATTTATAAATATATAATATATTTATAAAGATATATTTATATAATAAATATTATATAAAAATATAAATAAAATAAAATAAAAAATAAAAATACTAATGCCTTAATCTTAATATGAACTTTATGAAAAAAATGTAGTCATGCTACACATAATAACATTTTAATCAATGATGGGCTGCATATATCATAGTGGTCCCATAAGGTTGTAATGGAGCTATATGATAGAATAAACTATACCACCTAGGTTTGTGTATGTATACTCTATGATGTTCACATGACAAAATCACCTAATGATGCATTTCTCAAAATATATTTATGTCATGAAATGAGCATGCATGTAGTATTATTACCTCCATCTTACAGCTGAGAATTGAGGTAAATAAAGGTTGAATGACTTGTTTAAGGGCATATAATTAATAAATGGTATAGCTGGGAATATCAGCCCGAGCAGTCTGACTCCAGACGCCATGCTCTTAACCAAGATGCTATGCTGCTTATGAAGTTAAAATTTTATAATTTTATAATCCATTTTATGTATCATAATTTAGTTTCATAGTATGAATTTTCTCTTGATGTTGTCTCTATCTCGCCTTTGCTAAACCTCCCCAATGCACATGTGAGTACACATCACATCTGTGTACGTACGTGCATGCACACACACACATATACATGCATACATACTTCGGGCTTCAGAAATATTGAACCACTGGTTGTTCTCACGGCACAATCTGTTGCTTCCTACTTAAATTATTTTGCATTTTCCTCCTTCTCCCTAGTATGCCCTCCCTTACCTTATTAGCCTAAAGAGCACTTCTTTATGTGTGAAATTCTCCTCCCCCACCATGCACATACTCCAAATAGAGTTTGTAGCTTTTTTTAATCAGTGAAGTTTGTACACACTTCTACTACTGCAGTTGTTATTTATATGTCTGCCTCTGTTATTACACTACATGCTCAGTGAAAAAAAAACTCAGGTCTCATTTATCTTTATAGCCCCAGCATCTAGCATAGTTCCTCGTACATAGTATATATTCTGTAAATATTTTGTCATGTTTAACTGAAAGCCATTTTTCCATTCATTTGCTTAAAACAATCTTCAAAAACTCTCTATTGACTATATTTTTAAAAACCTAAAATCCCTTAGCACATTGGTAAACCCTCCTTTGTTTGCCCACAATTTACTTTTCCAACTTCAACCCTCACATAAATACAGGTAAAAACACACACCACTTTGGGCTCCAGCAAAACAAAACTGGGATCCCGTGAAGGTTTCAGACCACAATTTTTAGAGGGAGCAAAATTCACCATTTTACAAACACATCTTGTGGTTTCTTGCTTTGTGCTTTTTCTCACATTGTCTTCTCCATCTAGAATGCATTCTCCAGTTTCCACTGTCCTCTGAATTCTGCTGAGCTTTCAGCGCTCCACTTAAATATCATTCCACATTAGATTGTCTTTTATTCTCTAAATCAGATAAAATTTACCGTTCTATCTTCTGTTCGACCACTCACTATACTTAGCTCTCCCTCTAACTTATAAACAGCCATGCTTTATTTCATGCAATGCAGCGTTAGCTCCGTGGAGGCAGGCACCGGGCACGTATTTAACTTTGCATTTTCCTTACCATCTCCTCAAAGCACTTTGCATTGAATCTTGCCCCCATACAATTTCCCAGTATTTGCTATTACACTGACATAGTAGATACTCCTGCCCACATTGTTACTCATTACTAAGTATAAACACATGTATTTTATGATCCAGTAATAATTAAGGTATGCTAATAGCAGAATAAATATGGCTCACCAGTGACATTTCATTAATAAGCATGTAGATTCATAAAACTTGAAAAAATAAAGTCAGAAAGTAATACAAGTGGCTACCATTTACTAAGTGCTTACGGTATGTCAGCACTATGTTACCCATTGATCTAATAGTGTAAGTTTTAGCATCTGTATTTTTGAGATAAGAAAACCAAGGCTCAGAAAGTTTAAGAAACACGCCTAAGATCACACATGTAGTAAGCTGAAGAGCTTTGAGTTAAATCCTGGTCAGTCTCCTGCACTTGTGCTCATAACACAACCCTAACTATATTTCCCACTTTTCATACACAAATACATTACCCCGAGCATTTTACATATACTATCGTATTTGATCCTTACAATAACCTACAATAATCTCGTAAGGTAGGTATTATATTCTTCATCTTACAAATGAGAAAACTGAGATTCTGGAAAATTAGTTTATTTCCTAGAATTCAAACAGCCAATACATGATAGAGTTGGAATTTGAACCAGGACCCACTGATGTCAATCTTAATCCTAAATTCTAAACTGTCTTCTGCATGGATTTTTCTGCTGTAGCACTTTTTTTCGTTTTTGGCTGTGGACTATTTGGAGTGTGGAGAGGAAGCCATAACAGACTCACCAGGTTTTAAGATGTTTTCTTCTGGTAGATAAAGGACTTTGAATGCCCCTAATTTACAAGCCATTATCCATTTTATACTGCTAAACAATTTCTTGTTTTCCCTGGCCTTGGAGTAGAAGAAAGACCCTAAATCTACATCTAATTGATTCGTTGGGCACCTAGTTCTTATTCCATGAAACATTTTTGGAAGGATTATTGATTCAAGTGTGAGCTGATTTTTAATTAGTTTATCTCTTTCTTATAATAAAATTTATATTTAAATTGATCAGCAGGCAGGTAAATAACTCATGGCAGGTACACATGCACTTAAATTCTCAATCAATGTCTGACATTTTGGCTTTGATAGAAACCCTATATTCAGTGATTTGTTGAGACACACTAAGGTTTCTAAAGGGGAGAAGCCCATACTCTCAGGCAACAGCCGGTAAGGTAAACACAGGGGGCTGGTGCTAATCCCCAGGAAGGGAAGGAGAACTGAATCCCCAGCCTGGCCTGGCCCTGATGCAAGCAGCCAGGCCTCACCACACTGCAACTACCCATTAGAGCAGATACCCCAGAGAAAAGGCAGCTGCATATTGGCATCCTAGCTAATTTCCTTACCAAAGCAGTAGGCTTATGAAAAAAATAATAGGAACAGTGACGCCTTTCACAGTTAATAGTTATAAAGGCTTTTCCTTGTAGCTGTGCTTCTCAAGTTCCATGGGCATATATCTTGGAGATATGTATGTACTCCAGAGGTTGGCACAGCTTCTTAGACTATCAATTCTATTCTGTTTTAAGTAATGTAAAACATTATTTCATATTAAGTCATACATAGGTATATTACGAAGTAGACTGAAAAATAAGCATAAAATTTCAAGATAAAACTACAACTTCAAAGAAACATCTCTAAGTTTTACCTGTAAGTTGTTTCAGTTAACTTGAATTATTCATTCAGAACCTTAAGGGGGTGGCTTTCACTCTCTTTTCCCATTGGAGGTACTTATGAAGAAAGTTTGGAATGCATTGATACATAGTTCATTTAAAGTTTATAAATCAGAAAAATTCTTTTATAATTTTACTAAGTCAGAATGATTTTTATGGTTGTAGGCTAGGCATTCTAAGATTTGCAAGATATATCTATAATTCTTGCCTTTCCCACCATCCACTTTAAAACCACTCAAAACTCTGGGTATTTCCTGGAGCATATGGGAAATAAGTGAGTGTTCTAAGAACTTGAAAGAACCCACCAAACTCTACCTTTGTGCTTTCCGTGAATGTTGCATTAGCACTCATTGACCATTAATTGTCTTTTTTTTTAACCTCTCGGAATAGCTGTTTGTTGTGACTCAGTAAACTGTTTTGGATGGCATAAGTGATCAGTTGATATTTTAGATAACCAATGGCTCACTTTTTCAAACTTCAGTTCATAAGAATCTATAATTAGCAGTAATTCTGCCAACATTCCCTAGTTTCTTTCGTAACTTGATCTCATAATTATATCTTATGTGGTACTTCGTCATTCTAGCCTAAATGTTTTATCATATTTCTCATTTGCAACTTCTCTTCTAAAACACATCTTCAAAGGACAGCTCTTTCCTTCAGTGGGTGCAATAGCACATAGCATTTGGGAATGGTATTATGGAATGATTTAACGTATGCCCTCTGATGCCTGTAGACCTGGGTTTTATTCCCAGCTCTACCGCTGACAAGCAAATTGTTTAACTTTTCTAGAATCAATTTCTTAGTAGTATAATGAATACAATATCCTCATGAAACACACAAGCATGGCACATGTATACATATGTAACTAACCTGCACATTGTGCACATGTACCCTAAAACTTAAAGTATAATAATAATTAAAAAAATAACATGCTAAAAAAATTAAATAAAACAATCACTTAAAAAGCACTCTGTTCTTAACTTAGAACGTGATCAAAAAATGATAGTCATATTTATTATTGTTGATATTATTTTTAATATTCACGTGTAATATTAAAACTTCAAAAACCTTATTTTTACAATGCAATAAAGTTTTACAAAGTTGTCCCATTGTAGGCAGACCTATGCCAACCTACTTGTAAAAGTCCAAGGAAGCTGAGAGGACAAATAATGTGGCTGACATATACAGTTCCTCAGAAAGAAACATATAAACATATAATGGGCATTTACAATCAGAAGCCATGTCTGTTTCTTAGGGAGCAGCAAAACAGGATGGTGAGTCTGCATGCTATTGTGGCCCAGACCCAAGGAAAGAATATATGTGCTTCAGAAGGGGTGTATAGGACAGTTGCTTAAAGGTAGGATTAATTGTAAGTATGATAACATCAAAGTTGTCTTTACCCAAGGGCAGGATTCACAGTAAGTACATGCTCTTACACAAGGAAGAGTAGATATAGCAGAAATCTTAGAGGGCTTCTCCAAACCAGTGTTAATCAGAAGTCAACATGATGGATTAGTATCCAAGATGGAGTTGCTTTAGCCTTCACAAAAGTAGCTACTTAGGTCAAGACATCAGCACACTTAAAACCTTGCTCATGCCTCCATTCAGTCATTAAACGTCTCAAGGAAATGATATTTTTACTTCTATCATCATGCTATGGCTTGAATGTCCCCTCCAAAATTCATGCTGAAATTTAATTGCCATTGTAATAGTGTTGAGAGATGGGACCTTTAAGAGATGATTAGGTCATAAAGGCTCTGTCCTCATGAATGGATTTATGCTGTTATTGCAGGGGTAGGTTAGTTTTCTTGAGAGTAATTTCATGATAAAAGGAAGAAGTCTGGCCTTCATCCTCTCTGACTCATGTACTTGCTTGCCCTTCTGCTTTCCACCATGGAATGATGCAGCATGAAGGCCTTTGCCAGAATTAGGTGCCATGCTCTTGAACCCCTCAGCCTCCATAACTGTGAGCCAAATAAACTTCTATTGTTTATACATTAGTTAGTCTTTGATATTCTCTTACAGCAGCTGAAAATGGACTAAAAACAGAAAATCAGTACTGAGAATAAGATTGTTGCCATTAAGAAAACAAAACAAAAGGTAAACCTGAAAATGTGGAAGTGGCTTTGCAACTGGAAAGTGGATAGAGGCTGGGAGAATTTGGAGGAGCAAGCTAGAAATAGGCTAGATTTCTGGTGAGTGGAGCTTTAAGGGCAATTCTGGTGAGGGCTTACAAGAAGAGAAGAACTGTAGGAAGAGTCTGAAACTTCTTAGAGGTTACTTAAGTGGTCATGACCAGAATGTTGGTAGAAATATTGACAGAGAAACCATTCCAATGTGGTCTCAGTTGGGAATGAGGAAGAAGATACTGGAAATTGGAGTAAAGGTATTCTTGTCATACAGTTGCAAAGAACTTGGCAGAATTGTGTCCATGTCTTTGGACTTCATGAAATGCAGAACTTAAGAGTAATGAACTAGGATATCTGGTGGAAGAAATATCTAAGGAGCAAAGCACTCTGGCTACTGTGTGGCTACTTGTGAACACATGCAATGAAATGTGAGAGAAAATAAATGACTTAGTGATGAAACTTATAATTGAAAGAGAAGCAGAATAAAAAGATTTGGAAAATCTGCATTCTGGACACGTGAAAAGTAAAAAGGCATGTTTGAGAGAAAATACTAAGAGTATGGCCAAGTAATAGTTTGCTAAAGAGAATCATATGGATAGAAGGGAGCTAGGCACTGTTCATCAGAACCATGGGAGAAAGACTCCAAAGGCATTTAGATCTTGGAGGCCATCTCTCCCATCACAGGTCCAGAGCTCTAGGAGGGCAGAATGTTTTGGGAGAATGGGCTTGGGGCACCCTCTGTGGACTCACTACCCAAGGCTGCCTCAGGATTCTTCTTCCTGCATCCCAGCACCATGCCCCTTAGGCACCCCCAGCCATGGCTCAAGCAGGCCCAGGTATACTTCAACCCACTACTCTGGAGGTTACAAGCTATAAATATTGGTGGTGTCCATGTGGTGCTAATTCTGCAGTAATGCAGAATGCAAGACCTGTGCAGGCATGGCTACTTTCACCCTATATTTCAAAGGATGCTGTGGACAGCCTAGGGGCCCAGAGAGTCTTCTTATAGAGATGGAGCCACTGCAGAGACCTCCTACCCTACTAGGGCAATGCTGAGTGGAAATGTGAGGTAGGAGTCACCACAGAGAGTTTCCACTAAGGCAATTCCTAATAGAGCTGTGGGAGTGGGGCCATCACTAAGACCTCAGAACTGTAGAGCAACAAGTGTGCAATGCCAACCTGAGAGAGCTGCAGGCACTAGACTCCAATGGAGAGAGCTGAAACATGGGCTGAGCCCAGAAAAGCCACAGGGACATGACTGCCTGAGGTCTTGGAGGCCCAACGGCAGTAACGGTGTGCCCAGGATGTAGGACATGAAGTCAAAGGAAATTATTCTGGAGTGTTAAGATAGTGGTGTTCCCTGTGGAGTTTTGGACTTTGTTGGAATCAATTACCCTTTCTTCTTGCTTATTTCTCCCTTTTGGAATGGAGTTGTCTGTCCTGCACCTGTTTCACGACTGGATTTGGAAGCACTTAAATTGTTAATTTCACAGTCTCACAGCTGGAGAGTAGTTTGCCTCAGGATTAATTGATCCTTCAGTCTCACTTATGTCTGATTCAGATGAGACTCTGGATTTTGGACTTTTGAGTTGATGCTGGAACTAGTTGACACTGGGGCTACTGGTATAGAATGAGAGTCTTTTCTATGTGAGAAGGACATGGGTTTTGGGGGGCCATGGAAGGAATGCTATCATTTGAATGTCACTTCCAAAATTAATGTTGAAATTTAAGTGCCATTGAAACAGTGAAACAGATGTCAGACCTTTAAGAGGTGATTAGGTCATAAGCTCTGCCCTCATGAATGGGTTAATGCTGTTGTTGTGGGAATGGGTTAGTTATCATAAGAGTAAGTTCTTGATAAAAAGAATGATTTTTGAACTTCATCCTCTTCCTGTCTCGTGTTCACTTCCCCTGCTGCCTTCCTCCGTGGGATGACATAGCACAAAATGCATTGCCAGATGTTGGCACCATGCTCTTGGAATTCCCAGTTGAGCCGAATAAACTTCTATTGTTTATAAATTACCTAGTCTGTGGTATTCTGTTATAGCAGCAGCAGACAGGCTAAGACACATGATAAATTAATTTTTGTCTGTTTGTAATTTACATGCATACAGTGAGATTACATGTACTCTTCTGTGTCTGACTTCCTTCTCTCAATATTTTATTGTGATTCCTTCATGTTGTTGCCTACAGCAGCAATTTTTTCATTTTTATTTCTGCACTGCATCAATATAAAATATTTTCATTCATTCTTTCGTTGATATTTATTCTACCATTAAATGTTGATAACATTTATTTCTAGTTTCGAACTAATGTGCTAATGCTGCTGTGAACATTCTTATACGTCTTTTGTTCTCATTTTTGTTAGGTTTATACTTTGTTTGGAATTGCAGGACTATGAAATGCATATCTTTGGCTTTAGTAGATACTACAAAACACTTTTCTAAAGTAGTTGATGTAATTTACACTTGTACTAGCAATGTATGATAGAGTTGCTGTTGCTCCACACCTTCATCAACAGTTGGTATTATCAATTTTTAAAATTTTGCAGTTTGAGTATGAAATGGCCTCTGACTGAGGCTATAATTTGTATTTTCCTTATGATTAGTGAGGTTGAACACCTTTCAATATGCTTATAGTCAATAGGATATATTCATTTTGTTTAAATATTTCACTAATATTTCTATAGTATCTACTGTCTTTTTTATGACAATACAAATTTTGTGCATACCATGGATTTTAGTTCTTTATAACGTATCTGTATTTCAAATATTCCTATTTATTATGTGGCTGGAGTGTTCATTCTGCTAATGGAGATTTTGATGAACAGATTTTTAAAAATGTTAATGAAGTCCAATTTTCTATCTTTTCCTTTGTGATGAATTTTTTTTCGTGTTTTTAAAATATTTGCTTATCTCAAGGCCACAACATTTTTTTAGTGGTATCTTCTAGAAGATTTACTGTGTTAAATTTCACAGTTGGGTGTAAAAATCATATCTTTATATATGTGAATTAGAAGTTAAGGTTCTTTTTTCTCCTTTAATTATACCAATCAATCTAGCATCAGGTATTTAAAACACCATCATATTTTCTTCACTGCATTGCAGTGTCAACTTGTTGTAAAGTGACCATATGTAAGTGGGTTTGTTTCTGAGCTTTCTGTTTCATCAGTCTATTTATCACTCCTTGCACAGTACTATACTGTTTTAAATGTACTAACTCTGTACTAAGTTTGTATACCTGATAGTATAAATCCTAGCTCAACTTTGTTCTTTAAAATATTGTCTTCACTATTCTTGGGCTTTTAGGTTTCCATAAACATTTTGAAATTGGCTTGTCAGTTTTTAACACCCCACCTCAAAAAATGTCTTGGGCTTTTAATTGGGATTGTATTGAATCTAAATTTTTGTAGCCTTAAAACATTTGATATAGGCAAATATTTTACAAATATAAATATTTTTTATAAATAAACCTATTTCTTCTTGGGAGGAAATAACATCTTTACAATACTGAATTTACTAATCTATGGATATTCAATATTCTGTCATTTATTTAGGTCTTCGATTCAAAAAGAGATTGTTCATTCTCTCTTTTGTCTTGGTCAGTTTTGCTAAGAAGTCAGTATTTTATTTGTTTTTACAAACAATCAACTTTTTGGGCCTCCTTTGCTGTATGTATGTTTTTATTTCATTGAAGTCTACTATATTGCATTATTTGCTTTATGACACATTTTGTGATATTTTCTGTTCTTTTTGTTGCTTTTTGAGACAGGTGATTATAATCATTGATTTTCAGCTTTCTTATTTTCTAATTTATGGGTTTATATCTAAACATATATCTCTAGCTGTTCTTCATGTTTTGATAAGTCAAATTCAAATAATTTATTCTGAATATTTTCAAATTTTTATTTTTAAATAACCCATAAGTTACTTACAAGTGTGTAGCTTAACTTCAAATCATTTGGAGATTTTCTAGCTATCTTTTTTATTATTCCATACTAGCTTAAGTTCTCTGTAGTCAGCAAATTCTCAGAATTATCGTGAGATTTGCTTTATGGCATAGTAATCTATCACTTTTGGCAAATGTTCCATGCGTAATATGGTTTGGCTCTGTGTCCCCACCCAAATCTCATCTAGAATTGTAATCCACAGGTGTTGAGGGAGGGACCTGGTTGGGGGTGATTGGATTGGGGAGCAGTTTTCCTCAGCTGTTCTCCTGATAGTGAGTGAGCTTTCACGAGATTTGTTTGATGAGTACTTGGCATTTCCTCTGTGCTCTTTCTCTCTCCTGTCACCTGTGAAGAAGGTGCTTGCTTCCTTTTGCCTTCCACCATGTTTGTAAGTTTCCTGAGGCCTCCCCAGCCATGCAGAACTGTGAGTCAATTAAAACCTCTTTTGTTTATAAACTATCCAGTCTCAGGTAGTATCTTTATAGTAGTGTGAGAATGGACTAATACGATGAGTATTTGAATACAATGTGTTTTCTTCATTCATTGATGCTGTGTTTTAAACATGTGAATTAGAACATTTTGTAAATTATGGTGTCTACCTCTCACTAACTTTTTGGTCTGTTTTTTTCCTCTCAGTTACTGACAGAGGTATGATCAAATCTCTGGCTGTAATTATAGGTTTTCCTGTTTCTCCTATAATTCTGCCAGTTTTTGCTATGGATATTTTGGATCCATGTAATTAATTGCATACAGATTATGAATAGTATGTTTCTATTGAATTAACACTTTTATTATTGTGAAAAGTATCTTTTGTCCCTGGTAATATCTTCTTACATTGAAGTCTAAGCCGTCTTCTATTAGTATAGCTCTCTGGCTTTCTCTTAATCATGGATTTTATAGTGTATCTTTTTCCATCATTTTACTTTCAATCTTTATCTGTCTTTATGTTTTACACTCTAATATTAAAATCTTTCTTTTTAATTGGATGTTTAGTTTATATGCATAATGAAAATACTAATTTATTTTGATTTTAATTTATCATATTATTTTTTGTTCTTTGTTCCATCTCTTCTTTTTTTTCCTATTACTGTCTTATCCTCTATTTGTTGGATCAAGCATGTTTCAGTATTTGTCTCCCTATTAAGCTTGTTAGTTACACTCTCTTTTACTGTCCTAATTGTTTCCTTAGAGGTAACAATAAATATTAAATTAGTACAATAAATGTACTAATTTAAGGTAGAATGTTCCTTAATTTTCCATTTTGTAACGTTTTTAGAACAAAACACTTTTTACTTCACATCCAACTTCTACCCTATTTTTACCATGCATTGTAGTCATACATACTATGAAACTACTCAAGACAGATAATTAGTAAACCAATTATGAACTGATTGTTTCTCAGCCCCAAACCCAACCCTGTTTGCCTGCTTTTCTCAAATTCAATAGCACCCTCTGAATGTTTCCCTTGCCATCTGGAGTAATGCTAGACTTTGTCAATAGAGGACACTGTGATGACAATAGATGACAATAACAGCAAGGAGACACTCTTTCTGGCTGGGGTATTCCATGTTTTTAGTTAGCATACCCTGCAAAGCTCACAGACCAGTTTCAACCAAACCTTCAGGACTTGCTCTCCTCACCCAATGGCCATTTCCAAGTGCACCATTTTCTCTGTTTTGGCAGCCATGGCTGAACCCATTTCTCCCCACCTTACGGCAGGTTCTGAGAAGGTCCACTGCAGTGCTTGCCTGGCAGCTCTGGCCACACCCTCAGGCAACCACCTTCCCGCTTGGAGGGTTTTTTCCATATGTCAACTCTAGCCTGCCCACATGTCCCAGCACTGGCAGGACATTTCTAAAGATCATTCCTGCCCTATTACCTCTGGCATCTTGCTTCACAGCTGTTAGGCAGCATTTGCTGTGGTACCCATGCTCTCTTTAAAGAAGTCTGCATCTCACCTTTGGGGTGGGGAAGCTGTCTCTTGAGTTCTCAGTTTTTTAATTTTATTTTCTATATTCTCTCAACCTAGAAATATCAGCTGTTTTATGTTTGTTTTGTATGCACATACTACTAATGGACCCCTTTAAGTCTTTACTGTCCTTTTTAGTAGTTAGTTATCTTTGAAATGTACAATTCTTCACATCACATTTTCTTTGTTCTAATAACTGGTTTGGTTTCTGTCTCCTGACTAATATACTCAAAATTTGTGTTTCCATAATTTAGCATTTCCGATGCTTTTTTCCTTTCTGCATTTCTGTGATTCCATCTGAGAGCATTTTCTTTTTGTCTAAAGAGTACTCTTTAGTGTTTTTATAGTGCATGTCTGCTGACAATAAATTATTTAAATCTTTGTCTAAAATGACTTAATTTTACATTACTTAATAATTAATAATTTTGCTTTGTGTAGAATCTGAGGTAGGCAGTTACTTCTCTTCAGCACTTTAATGGTGCCATTTCTTATTTTTGGTTTTACCATTTCTATTGATGAGTCAACTGTCATTCCCGTTGATGTTCCTTTGAAAATAATACATCTTTTCTGTTTGTTCTTGCAGAAAAAGTTGTAGATTTCCTTTGTGTTTTTAAGCAGATTTTACCATTATGTGCCTAGAAATGGTTTTCTTCACACTTTTTCTTAGAATTCACAAAAATTCTTGAATCACACTGACTTGACATGGTTCATTAGTTTTGGCAAATTCTCAACCACTATTTTTTCAACTATTGCCTTTTCCCCAGTTCCTTTTCGTCTTCCTACTGTGACTCCAATTATATTTATATTAAATCTTTTCATGCCTTTTTCATTCATGTAATTTTATTTTTGTCTGTGCATCAACTTGCAGACTTTTTATTGACCTGTCTTCTAATTTACTATTATTCTCTCCTATAAGGTCTAATTAGTTGCTCAAATAAATATACAAAGTTTTTTATTTTCCATTATTAATTTCTCATATACAGTATTTTCATTTTTTTTTTACGTAGGCCAGTTGTCTCCACATTTTCCTCCGTTTCTGTGAACACAGCAACATGCTGTAATGTCCTGTTTCACAACTTCAATATCTGGATCACACATAGATTTATTTCTATCGCAAACTTTCTTCATCATTTGCTCTTGCTTCCTGTTAATTCTTGATTAAGCAACAGAAGTTTTATAAAATTTACAAATATATATTTATATTGCTACCGTGTTTCGATTTTTGTTGTTTTATTTTTATAATTTTTGAAGTATTTTCTAAATAAAATATAGATTCTAGGCTGGTCTTGGTGGCTCACTCCTGTAATCCCAGCACTTTGGGAGGTCGAGGTGGGTGAATCACGAGGTCAAGAGTTTGAGACCAGCCTGGCCAACATGGTGAAACCCTGTCTCTACTAGAAATGCAAAAAATTAGTGTAGTGGTGGGTGCCTGTAATCTCAGCTACTCAGGAGGCTGAGGCAGGAGAATCGCTTGAACCCGGGAGACGGAGGTTGCAGTGAGCTGAGATTGTGCCACTGCACTCCATCCCTGGCGAGAGTGAGACTCCATCTCAAAAAAAATATATATATATATACACACACACATTATATATACACACATATATACACATATATATATTCTATATCTAAAGAAAAGTAAAGTTCACTCTGACAGGAGTTTTTCTGCATGTCTATCTTTTTATAGGGCCTAATTCTAGAATTACAGTTTCTAATTAAAGTCATTATTATAAACCACTACATGTTTATTACTGGTCTTTTCACTTCATTCTGATATCTTCTAATATCTTTTTATGGAAAAGTATATGTAATGTATTTTTGGAAAGATTATACAAAAGTAATATGAAATAAATATCATCTTTATTAAGGGAGTGGGTCACATTTGGAAGACATTTACTTTTGTCTTTAGGCATTCATAATATAAACCTAGAACAAATAATTGTTTCTGAAATGTAACAATTGCTATTAAAACAAAGAAGAATATACCAAGCATTTAAAATATTTATAGACCTTGTAAAGTCACACATAGATCACAGCTAGACATTTAATTTCTGGATATATGTCATCATCACTTAATGTTTTAAAGCCAGAGAATTTCATATTGAAAAAATATTTGTGGAGGAAAAAAAAATCTTTAAGCAGACCGGGCGCGGTGGCTCACGCCTGTAATCCCAGCACTTTGGGAGGCCGAGGCGGGCGGATCACGAGGTCAGGAGATCGAGACCATCCTGGCTAACACGGTGAAACCCCGTCTCTACTAAAAATACAAAAAATTAGCCGGGCGTGGTAGCGGGCGCCTGTAGTCCCAGCTACTCGGGAGGCTGAGGCAGGAGAATGGCGTGAACCCGGGAGGCGGAGCTTGCAGTGAGCCGAGATCGCGCCACTGCACTCCAGCCTGGGCGACAGAGCGAGACTCCGTCTCAAAAAAAAAAAAAAAAAAAAAAAATCTTTAAGCAGTGGTGTAGGTACATGACTATGGGCAAAGACAGGGAAAAAAATTACAGATGATACAAAGGAGAAAATTACATATAACAAAAGGTAATATTTCCAAGGAATTTTATATTCCACCATGTGGAAAAATTGTATTTGTATAAGTCATATCTAAATATAACATAACAAGTCAGTATGGTGAGAAAGGTTATTAAAATAGAATTGCCTGGACCTGAGTGTTAACAGGCAACAGAGACAGACTACAAATTTCAGTCTGGAGGAAGGTATTTTCTTCCTATATTTTAATCCTCTATCTGCACCTCCTGAGGGTATAAATAAGCAACATTTTTCATAAGCAATACTGTCTGCCTAGGTTAATTCACCCTGGGACCACTGCTATATAATAATTTTGATGCCTACTCTCTCCTATGGCCCAATACTTGAACAGTCATGTTTACATAATAACTTATAGAAGTGGAGCTACTCCAAATATCTCAGTTTTCAAACATTGGACATTGATCCATATGGCTTCAGGGATAATGAACTCAGATCTCAAAGGATCTCCATATTTTTAGTAACAATACTGTTAATTATGCAATGGGATAAATATAAATAAAATCAATCTTCTTGTTTTTCTATGTTCGACTAAAGACCATTATGTGTATGATGGTCTGCGTTAACAAGATGGGGTGTCAGAATATTGACTGCTAACTTTAGGACCTATGAAATGTTGAACTTTGATGAAAGGAAGAGTAGATAATTATGCAGTAGGAACTCAACATGGCTTGTTAAACAAATCTTTGATGTTTTTTGTCAAAATTCAATACAAAGCATTGAACACTACAGACTGAAGTTCCTGGATTTCTAGAGAGATTTCAGTTGAAAAAATTATCACAATACAATTAGAGAATTGTTTGATTTTTATTAAAAATCACATTTAATAGAAATTATTTTGTAAGTTTAGGAAAACAGGAAAATGACAAACCCAAAACACTTCATTTTATATTTAATTTTTATTTTAAATTCTGGGGTACATGTGAAGGTTTGTTATATAGGTAAACATGTGCCATGGTGGGTGGCTGCACCTATCAACCCATCACTTAGGTATTAAGTCCAGCATGCATTATCTATTTTGCCTAATGCTCTCTCTCCCCCAACCCTACCCACCAACAGTTCCCAGTGTGTGTTGTTCCCCTGCTGTGTCCATGTGTTCTCATTGTTCAGTTGTCACTTCTAAGTGAGAACATGCAGTGTTTGGTTGTCTGTTCTTGTGTTAGTTTGCTGAGGATAAAGGCTTCCTGCTTCATCCATGTCCCTGCAAAGGACATGATCTTGTTCCTTTTTATGGCTGCATAGTATTCCATGGTAAATATGTACCACATTTTCTTTACCCAGTCATCATTGATGTGCATTTGGGTTGATTCTATGTTTTTGCTACTGTGAATAGTGCTGCAATGAACATACGCTGCAATTAACCTACAATGATTTATATTCCTTTGAGTATATGCCCAGTAATGGGATTACTGGGTCAAATGGTAGTTCTGGTTTTAAATCTTTGAGGAATCACCACACCATCTTCCACAATGGTTGGAATTTACATCTGCATTTCCACCAACAGTGTAAAAGCATTCCTATTTCTCCACAACCTCACCAGCATCTGTTATTTCTTGACTTTTTAATAATTGCCATTCTGACTGACACAAGATGGTATCTCATTGCTGTTTTGATTTGCATTTCTCTAATGATCAGTGATGTTGAGCTTTTTTTCATATTTTTTAGCTGCATAAATGTCTTCTCTTAACAAGTGTCTGTTCATGTCCTTTGCCCACTTTTTAATGGGATCATTTGTTTCTGGTAAATTTGTTTAAGTTTCTTATAGATTTTGTGTATTAAATCTTCATCAGATGGATAGACTGCAAAAATTTTCTCCCATTCGGTAGGTTGCCTGTTTGTTCTGATGATAGTTGTTTTTGCTGTGCAGAAGTTAAATTCTATCCCATTTGTCAATTTTGGCTTTTGTTGCAATTGTTTTTGGTGATTTAGTCATGAAGTCTTTGCCCATGCCTATGTCCTAAATGGTATTGCCTAGATTTTATTCTAGGGGTTTTATAGTTTTGAATTTTCCATTTAAGTCTTTAATTCATCTTGATTTAATTTTTTTATAAAGTATAAGGAAGGGGGCCAGTTTCAGTGTTCTGCATATGGCTATCAAGTTCTCTCAGCACCATTTATTAAATAGGGAATCCTTTCCCCATTGCTTGTGTTTGTCAGATTTGTTAAAGATAAAATGGTTGTAGATGTGTGGTCTTATTTCTGAGTTTTCTATATCCATTGGCCTATGTGTCTGTCTTTGTACCAGTACCATACTGTTTTGGTTATTGTAGCCTTGTAGTATAGCTTGAAGTCTGGTAGCATGATGCCTCCAGCTTTGTTCTTTTTGCATAGGATTGTTTTGGCTATATGAGCTCTTTTTTTGGTTCCATATGAATTTTAAAATAATTTTTTTCTAATTCTTTGAAGAATGTCAATGGTAGTTTTAATGGCTATAGCATTGAATCTATAAATTACTTTGGGCAGTATGGCCATTTTCATATTGATTCTTCCTATCCATTAGCATGAAATATTTTTCCATTTGTTTGTGTCCTCTCTGATTTCTTTGAGCAGTGGTTTGTAGTTCTTCTTGAAGAGGTCCTTCACTTCCCTTGTTAGCTGTATTCCTGGATATTTTATTATTCTCTTTGTAGCAATTGTGAATGGGAGTTGACTCATGATTTGACTCTCTGCTTGCCTGTTGTTGGTGTACAAGAATGCTTGTGACTTATCCACAATGATTTTGTATCCCAAGACTTTGCTGAAGTTGCTTATCAGCTTAAAAAGCATTTGGGATGAGAGGATGGGGTTTTCTAAATATAGGATCATGTTATTTGAATGCCCTTTGTTTCTTTCTCTTGCCTGATTTCCCTGGCCAGAAGTCTCAATACTATGTTGATTAGGAGTGGTGACAGAAGTCATCTTTGTCTTGTGCTGGCAAAACATTTTATTTATTTATTTATTTATTTATTTATTTATTTATTTATTTATTGAGATGGAGTCTCACTCTGTCACCCAGGCTGCAGTGTAGTGGCATGATCTCGGTTCACTGCAACCTCTGCCTCCCAGGTTCAAGCAATTCTCCTGCCTCAGCCTCCTGAGTAGCTGGGTTACAGGCATGCACCACCACACCCAGTTAATTTTTGTATTTTTAGTAGAGATGGGGTTTCACCATGTTGGTCAGGCTGGTCTCAAATTCCTGACCTCAGGTGATCCACCCACCTCGGCCTCCCAAAGTGCTGGGATTACAGGCATGAGCCACAACGCCTGGCCAAAACACTTTATTTTAAATACTTTGGTTTAGATCTTCAAAAGTCATTTTCTGCTTACCAATAAATTTTTTTTTCTGTATTTGGTCACCAATCAAGCTTTCATTAGTTTTAAGAAATGTATAGCTTATATTACAAAAGCATTGCAATGTTTCTGGAAAAAAAATTGATGACACTCTCAGTGAACATTTCCACTTGAAAATTCTCTGAAAAAGCTTGCAATGTTAGTTTCATTTCATCCAGACCTATTTTGTTCAAGAAACTCTGCTAGCCACAGGGAGTACAAAGATAAGTAATAGAGATTTCCCGCCGTTAAGAGATAAGACACAAATTTGCAGGAGGATGTGCTATGCTAGTTTAAATATGGATTTCAGCCTGGTTTTCTAACTGAACTTTCAGCTTCCTAAGGGAAAAAAAAATCAGATATTTGATCATATTATGGGTCAAAACATAGTAATGAATTAAAATGAATGTCAATACAAGCTATTTTATTTTTTATTTATCATACTTACAAAAATTTTATATAGGTGAAATCATGAAATAACCTCTTCTTTATAAAAATAAGAAAATATGGCCCTGAGATAAAGTAAGTCACAAAGCATTTCCAAAATCTTTTTTTGTCAAAGCATTAGTTGTGTAAGATTTTTTTAATAAGAAGAGTTATAAAAACAATTTTGTGGGGCTGGGCACAGTGGCTCATGCCTGTTAGCCCAGCACTTTGGGAGGCCAAGGCAGGAGGATCAGTTGAGGCCAGGAGTTTGCGACCAGCCTGGGAAACATAGTGAGACCCTGTCTCTCCAAAAAAAAAAAAAGAAAAAAAATGTTTTGAAAATTTTCTGGGCTTGGTAGTGCATGGCTGTAGTCTCAACTACTCGGGAAGCTAAGGTAAGAGAATTGCTTGAGTCCAGAAGTTTGAGTCTACAATGAGTTATGATTATACCACTGCATTCCAGCCTAGGTGACACGGTGAGACCCTGTCTCAAAAATAATTAAAATAATTTTGTGAAATTTCCATCTGTGAAGAATCCCTATATATAGTACATTAAAATTTTTGCAAGATCATCTGATTTAAAAATTCTATTTCAGTTTGTTTAGCCTAGCTTTTCCCAAATTTATTTAACCACAGATCCTCCTTTGTGAAATACACACAAAAAAATGAATTGTGACAATGCAAAAAGAGCAATATCAAAATTTTTATTCTCAAGCCTAGATGCTTTTTCCTAAGTACACTTGCCTGGCCAAGTGATGATAAAAGAGTAAAGTTAATGTCCTCAAGTGGAGATTGTGTCCATGGCATGAGTCTTGTAAGGCAACTGACTAAAAAGTGAAACACTGACCAGAATGCAGAAAGGAGCTATGTAGGAGAAAACATCAAAAGTTTCTGGAAAAAGTCTATGTCATGCTTAACAGCAAGGGCTCTGGATCCAGATTGCTTGTATTCGAATGAACTTCAGGCATATGAGCAGTGGGACACTGAAATTTTCACTCAATCTTTGCAGGCCTTAATTTTCCTGTATGTAAAATAGAAACAGAGATTAGCACCATCATGTATTATGATCACTAAATTATTTAATATGATTCAGGCACAGTGTATGGCACCTAAGAAACAGCATTTAAGTTTATAAATAAATAATCCTTGAAGGTTTTTTTCTTTTCAAGTCTCCTACTTGATGAATTGTTTTCTTCTAATTGGGAAATTCCATTTTTCTTAAAAAGTCAAGTTCACTGGACTAACACCCATCGATACCATATTTGGGAAATGTTTAAAAATGTATTTCTGGAGTGAATAGAGTGAATGGAAAAAAGGAAATACTTCTTTATATATGCTAGCCAAATCTTTAGTGCATGTTCATACCCAATACCTTGGGGCATATTCACTGGAGAAAACCAGCCAACCTCCTGTAATAAGAACATCAAATTATTTCCTGTATTGGTCCCTGTTGCCTCCAAATGCTTGCTTGTAGGCCTTGGTTACACAATGTTAATAATAATAGTATGTTTACTCAGTGCTTACCATGTGCTGTGTGCTCTTCTTAGGGGTTCGTATGTCATTTTTCAATAAATCCCTACAACAATCCTGTGCATGGGATATTGTTATCCCCATTTTACAGATGAGAAAATAATGAGAGATGTCTTCTTGCTACTAAATTTAAAGTTTCATAATTTAAAAAATATTCCAAATGTTTTCAGTTTTTAACATAGAAAATAACTATTAAATAAGAACCTTTTTAAAATATAGAATTGTTGGGGACAATAATCATAGCTTACAGGTGGATATTCACAATTTTTCTGTTATACACCAAGAAGACCATGGATACTCACCCAAACTTACGAGATTGCTATTATTATTCCATGTTACTGTAAAACAAACTGAAGTTCAGTGAGGCTAACTCACTTTGTCTATGTTCACAATAAAAATGATTTATCTTCTTTAAAATAGGCTAAAATTTTTGAACATAAACTACAGATACTTTTATCACCAAAGCTAGAGAAAGAACTGTTAGCAGCAGAGTAGGTTTGTAAGAGATTATTGAACAAAGGAAGGTGCTCCAGTGCTGAGCTAGAAAAGTAAGACATAACTCAGATCAAGCTTTAGTGGGATTTTTTATTACTACTCATTTTTACTGCAAAGGCTGATTATGGATTTATATATCTTATCAAGAACAAAGCATAAGGAAGTTACTTTAATATGTGTTAAAAAGGCAAACAGAAGATGAACATTTAAATATTTCAGTATTTCCAATACAGGTACATGTCCACCTCTGAACTGAGCATAGGTATTTGAACCACTGTTGCAATTATAGGAATGGTCAAGAGAAAACTCACAAAGATTTCTTACTATCTCTGATCTTAGCCTGTTTTGTGTTATTACAAAAGAATACATGAGACAGGTAATTTATAAAGAAAAGAGGTTTATTTCACTCACAATTTTTCAGGCTGGGAAGTTCAAGGGCATAGGCCTGACTTCTGGCAAGAGCTTTTGTGCTGCATTATCACACGGTGGAGAATCTCAAAGACGAAGCAGACAGGTGTGAAGACATCACATGGCAAGACAGGATGCAAGAGAGTGAAACCGAAGAGGCCAGACACTTTTTAATAACCTACTTTCTCAAGAACTAATCCATCCCCATGAGTGAGCAAGAACTCACTCACCCCAGCAGGAGGTTATTAATGTACTCGTGAGGGATCCCTCCATGACCTAAAAAACTCCGACTAGGCTCCACCTCCCAATACAACCACGCTTGGGGATGAAATTTCAACATGAGTTTCAGGGGAAACAAACAAATCATATCCAAACCATAGCAGTATCCATTTATATCTGGTTTCCTTAATAAAATGACATGGAGCACCCTCCAAATAGCATAAATATGCATACCCTAGTTATGTGCATATTTTCAATTCACTGAACAACCTTCAGTTTCAACAAAGAAACTGTTTATTTTTTATTTGTTTATTTTTCTCTGTACAAAAAGCTTGCTGTGAGTCTGTCTCCCCCAGGAGAAAAATAAATAAATTTCATGACTTTGTAATTGTCATCTTAAAAACTTTCTTGCCTTCATTTAGTTATTTAAGAAAAAAATCTTTGCAATGCATCAAGTACTGTTTATGTCATTGTAAAGGCTGGAAAAACATCAACTAATTGTCAGGGAAAAATTCAGTTTATATTCAAAGTTTCCAACATTAAATATTGTGAAAATGCAAAGAAGCCCTTCTACTTTCACTTCTCACTTGTAGGATTTAGATCTACTGTCTAAAATATGATAAAATATTGGGTGACAAATTTCCTTTGAATACAAGGTGTGGAAACTAAAAAAAAAATGTGATTCAGTTCTCTCTTGTAACCTAGATATAAATAATGCCTGGATTAAAATTCTTAGCACATTCAGAGAACTTCAAGTAGTTCATGGTGGCCATAATGTGTAGGTTAGAATCCTGGGCTCTAGCGGTAGGCTAGCTTGTTTTTGAATCCCACCCAGCTATGCCACTAACTGGTTTCATGACTATGAGCCATCAACTTTACTTTTCTTAATCTCAATTTTTTCTTATGTAAAATTGTAGTAATTATAACAATAAATTAATTATAAAATATATGTTTAAATTATTTATGTATTAATTTCCAATATAAAAGAATGTTATTACAATAAAGCTTTGATGAGATAATGAATGTAATCTACACATCATGCATTGTAAATGGTAGCCAGTATTACTTCTTCGGCTAGATGAAAAATCGTATTCGAACTGGAGGGGTCATACCCACAGCTTGAAAATCTGTTATTCCATGTAAGGATTTCAGATTTCATACTGTGGTAGACAATGAACAATCACTAAAGAATTTTACCCAGAAGACTACTATGTTGCATTTTGCATTCTAAATGATCATTCTGCTTGCTATATGAGGGATGCACTGGGGGGCACAATAAGGAAAACAGTTACAAGACTATTCAAATGGTCCATGAGAGAAATGATAATTGCTTGAACTAAGTCAACCACAGAAAAAACAGAGCAAAATGTATGAGATTATGAGAAGCTAGAAGTAATGGAACATAGTTACTAATATATGCTGCAATGTGGGAAAGGAGTGAATCAAGAATGACACCCAATTTCCCAAGGGATGACTTTTATCAAATACAATAGTATTTTTACAAATACAATAGTAGACCCCGGTAAGGGAATGTTGGGAGTGTGGGGAGGATGTAAGGAGGGCTAAGTGAATGGAAGAAGGTTAATTTTGAAGAAGTAGAGTTTGAGTTATCTCTGGAACATAAAAATCACAGGTATTTATTATGCAATTTGTTACACTGGTTTTAATTTGGAGTTCAGAACATTCATGAGTCACCTACACATAATAGGTAGATTAAGTTATGAGACTGTATGTGATTGCTTATACAGACTAGATAGATTAATGAGAAGAGATCTGGAATTGAACATAAAGAAACATCAAAATATAAAATATAGGTAGAAGAAATAGTACTTAAAATGCAGACTGGGAAGGCAGAGCTAGGTAGTACAAGGGAAATAAGGAGATACTAATGCCAATGAAACAAAAGTGGAAATGTATCAAGAAAAGCAAGTGGTAAACCATGACAAACGTTGCAGGTATAAGTAAAATAACCTTAGGACAAAATAAATGTCATATGATTTGGCAATTGAGTCATTTGGGATGTTTATAGACGAGTTTCATTGCAGTGGAAAGACTGTAATCACATAGCCAAAGGTTGAAGTAAAATGAAAAGTTCTGGTAGATTGTCTTTTTCCAAAAGTGGACACAGCAATATTGCTGATCCCAAATCTTTCAGAACCTTGCTACACACCATCATAGGTGGAGGCTGTTTCCCATTTCCTTGAACCTAGGTAGGGCTTTGTGACTGCCTTAATGAACAGAACGCAGCAAAAATGATGCTGTGTGACTTCCAAGTCTAGATCATAAAAGGAAATAAATGTTTTGTGCATCTCCTCCCGTATTCCCTGACACCCCTCTCTCATTCTTGAAACCCACTATCCACGTTTTAAGAAAGTTCAGACCACATGGAGAGTACATGTATAGATATTCTGGCCAACAGACTTAGCTATCATTTCAGTTGTAATCCCAGCACCAACTGCTTAAGTGAGCAAGCCTTTGAATGATTTTCATACCTACCCTTTCAGCTGCTCTAGCTGATACATTGAAAATAGACATAAGCTGTCCCTGTGGAGTCCTTCTCAAGTTGCAGATTAAATATTCTAGATGTTATAGGCCACTAAGTTTGGAGCCATATTTCACATAGCCATACTAGTACAGAAGCAAAGGAGAAGAAACCATAAATATAAATTATCCATTGAAAAGCCTTAGCACAGAAGAATTGCAGGATGAAAAGAAACTAATAACCAGATGAGCATAGAGTCAAGAATGTTGAGGAATCTTTAGAATTTTGTTATTAAAATAAGGTCAACATGAACCCTAGAAGATGTAACATGAAAATGCATGTTAGAAAGAGGAAAGAATCATTGGTGTAAATTCTATTTCCTGGTGGATGCAAGGGATATCACATAGAGAGCATACGAAATGTGATAGTTTTGAATAGGGAAACTGACATTTGTACATAAATAGATGCTTACAGATGTGGACACACGAAGTTAAAGAAGATCATTCTCAATATTCTAAGTTGTCTCTATGAAATCAGAGGCAAATCATCTGCACTGAAAAAGAAGTAGTGACGTAAATGGTAGGGGGAAGGGGTATGGTGTGCAGAGTAGTAGATTTTTTTAAATAAGGGAGCATGTAGAAGAAAAACAAAAGAAGGAGATAATCAATAATAATTTTAAAAAATTGCTAGGCTCAATTGAAGCTAGAGACCATAGTTTTTAGTGGCAAAATCCTATCAGCTGTATCATTTCATTTTTAATAATGCTTAGTACCTCAGATGCCTGATGATATAAGCGTTACATAAATATAGCAGCTCACTGATTTGTCCTTCTTTAAACTTTCTGCAGAGAGGCACTATACTTAGCTAAGAGTTCTTGGATATGGAGCTGAGTCCAGCAATGTCAAGGAACAACTCACAAGCTGTAGGGTTCAGAGCTACAGGATATAACTGGAGTGTCTGTCTAATTCAGCAGTTACTCTCCCTTTCCTGACAAATACCTCCTTAACAGCATCCCCCAATACAGGCAGCTTTTTGCCTCCAGGAAATTTATTCTATTACCTACTCCTTATTCTAGGTACTTACTACTTACTTCTTTCAGAGCTGATTAGTGCAAAGCGAATACTTGACTCTACTGCACCAATCATATTGTCTCTGAGGGAATTTGGCATTGGGATAAAAACAGATTCAGTTCATTTCTTCCTTCCCAAAACTTTAATGATTAAATTCAGAGGCTTTAAAATACCTATATGTGAAATATTTAAAGCTACATATATGGTGATAAATAAAACTAAATTACAGAGAGAAACAAAACCAAGAAATTGATAAAGAATATTGCCTAGGTTTCTAAAGATTTTTCTATTACCATATCTTGATTTTTTAACTGAGTTTTTGCCTACAGGATATAGATAGACTGATAATATAGATATGGAGATAAGTGTGGATACAGGCATAGATATAGAGATAGATAGTTGATGTAAGAGATTGTCTTACAAGTATGTAGCCAGAATCAAGAATATAAAAGAAATTATAGAAGAGACTCCAAACTGAAACTCAGGCATTGAGACAGAAATCAGAAAGATCCAAAAGAAGAGTAACCAGTGAAAAAAAAAAAAAAAGTGGGAGATTTCTCTTAGAATCCTTAGAATTCCATGCATAGAAGTTTCATAGCATGCCCTCACTGACCTGGAGAGAATTCTCAAGGGGTTGAAGCCAGATGAACAAATAATACAAAACTATATTGTCAAAAAATAAATGAAAACTTTTAGTTCACTAAATATACTCATGATTATTTTTGAGAACCAGAGTAAAGAAAAGCATTTGATACCTGTTAACCTATAAACTGTTCATATTGTAGAAAATACACATCTTTTTATTCCATATATTTAATTAGCAGGTCAGGCACTGTGGTTCACACCTGTAATCCCATCATTTTGGGAAGCCGAGGCAGGCAAATCACTTGAGACCAGGAGCTTGAGACCAGCCTGGCCAACATGGCGAAACCCCATCTCTACTAAAAATACAAAAATTAGCCAGGTGTGATGGAGCACACTTGTAATCCCAGCTCCTTGGGAAGCTGAGACAAGAGAATTGCTTAAATGGGGGAGGCGGAGTTTGTAGTGAGCCGAGATTGCACCACTGCACTCCAGCCTGGGCGACAGAGCAAGACTCTCTCTCCCCACCCCCAACCCCCACCCAAAAAATTCAATTAACAAACATCATCAAATTCCCCTTATGCCCAATCCTTAACTCTGAGGTTAACCATTATATAGTGTGACCTCTATCACCATTAACTAGTTTTGTCTATTTTTGAAATGTATGTAAATGAAATCACAGAGTAGATACCCTTGTGTCTGGCTTGTTTTGCTCAACATTATGCATATTAGATTCAAACATGTTTTGCATGTAGGAGCAGTTTGTTTATTAACATTACCAAATAATATTACATGATATTAACATAAAAGTCATTTTCTCATTTGAATTATTTGGACATTTGGATTATTTCAAGCTTGGGGCTATTAAAAGTCATGCTTTTATTGGATATTTTTGTGCATGGCTTAGCTGCAAATATGAATACATTTCTGTTAGGAATAGACTTAGGGAAGAAATTTCACGGTTAAGATATGCATATTTTCAGCTATAGTTCATATTATGAAACAGTTTCACAAATGGTTATACCAATTTACATTTCCACCAGCAGTGTATGTGAGTTCCAGGCATTCCACATCTTCACCAACACTTGGTGTCACGGATCATGTTAGTTTTAGCTGTTTGGGTGCATGTGTAATCCTTTTCATTTTTCTATTGGATTTATTGTCTTTTTTCTTAAATATTTGTAGAAGTATTTTTAATTTTTGATTTTGTTCTTATTTTTAATTTTGGCTTCAAATCTTTTTTCATTTATATGCATCACAAACATTTTTTTCCTGTGTGGTTTGCTTCCTCACTCTCTTAAGAGTGTCTTCTGAAGAAATAAAGGCCTTAATTTTAAGGTCATCTATTTTATCAGTCTTTTCCTTTGTTGTTAGTGTTAAGTAAATTAAAATGGAGAGCAAGAGGTAGAGCAAGATACAAATAAAATCCTCGAGCAACCATCTCCCTGCAGGAACACAAAATTGAACAGCTATCCTCACAAGAAAACACCCTAATAAGAGCCAAAAATCAAGTGAGCAATCACAGTACTTGGCTTTAACATCATATCAAGGAAAGAGGCACTGAAGAGGGTAGGAAAGACAGTCTTGAATTGCCTACATCAACTCTTGCACCCATACCCTTGGCAGAGGGAGAACGAAGTAATGGTAGAACTTTGTATTGGAATCCAGTGCTGCCCTGTCACAGTGGAAAGCAACTCAGGGCAGAATTCAGCCATGGACAGAACATTTAGACCTGCCCCAGACAGAGAGGAATTGTTCGTTCCAGTAGTTGGAGCTTGAGTTCCAGCTATCCCCACCATCACAGACTAAAGTGCTCTGGGGTACTAAATAAATTTGAAAGGCAGTCCAGGCCACAAGGAGTACCATTCTGGGGCAAGTCCTGGTGTTGTGGACATGGTGTGCTCGTGACCCAGTGATACACTAGCTGGGGTAGCCAAGGGAATGCTTATGTCACTCCTTCCCCAAATCCAGACAATGCAGCACATAGCTCTCGCAGAGACTCCTTTTGCCTGGGCAAAGGAAAGGGAAGAGTAAAGAAGACTTTGTCTTGCAACTTGGATAGCAACACACCCACAGTAAAATAAAGCACCAAATGGACTCCTAAAGCACCCATTCCAGGCCCTAGCTCCCAGAGGACATTTGGAGATCCACCCTAGGCCAGAGGGAGACTCCTGCCCTGAAGGGAAGGACCCTGTTCTGGCAGGATTCATCACCTGCTGACTAAAGAACCACTGGAATTTGAATAAACATCAGCAGTAGCTAGGAAGTAGTCCAGACAGGCCTTGGGTAAGACTCAGTACTGTGCTGGTTTCAGGTGTGACCCAGCACATTCCTAGCTATGGTTACCGTGGGTAGAGACACTTGCTTGAGGAAAGGAGAAGAAAGAGTCAAAAGGACTTTGTTTTACGACTTGGGTACCAGCTAAGCCAAAGTAAAATAAAGCATCAAGCAGACTCCTAAAGTCTCCAATTCTAGGCCATAGCTCCCACAGTACATTTCTAGATCCACCCTGAGCCAGAAAGGAACCTGCTGCCCTGAAGGGAAAGACACAATCCTTGCAGGATTCACCACCTGTTGGCTAAAGAGCCCTTCGGCCTTAAATGAACATCAACAATAGCCAGGCAGTAATTGCCACAGGCCTTTGATGAGACCCAGTATTGAGCTGGCTTCAGATGTGACCCAGCACAGTCCCAGCAGTGGTGGCAGTGGGAGTGCTTGCATCACCCTTCTCTCAACTCCAAGCAGCTCAGTATGCAGAAAAAGACTCCAGTTGTTTGGGGGAACGGAAGGAGAGAACAAGAAACACTGCCTGGTAATCCAGGGAATTCTGCTGGCTCTTACCTAAGGCCACCAAGGAGGACCTTCTGTGACTCTGCAAGAGTCACAACTTCAGTGGGCTTGGGATGCCCGCAAATGCAGATATAGTTGCAGTGACCCAAGTGTTAGATCACAACATTCAATTCCCTTCAAATATTTGGAAAGCTTTCTAAAGAAGGACAGGTGAAACAAGCCCAGACTGCAAAAATTAGAATAAATACCTAGCTCTTTTTTTTTTTTTTTTTTTTTTTTTTTTTTGAGACGGAGTCTCGCTCTGTCACCCAGGCTGGAGTGCAGTGGCGCGATCTCGGCTCACTGCAAGCTCCACCTCCCGGGTTCGCGCCATTCTCTTGCCTCAGCCTCCCGAGTAGCTGGGACTACAGGCGCCCGCCACCAAGCACGGCTAATTTTGTGTATTTTCAGTAGAGACGGGGTTTCACCGTGTTAGCCAGGATGTTCTAGATCTCCTGACCTCGTGATCCGCCCCTCTCCGTCTCCCAAAGTGTTGGGATTACAGGCGTGAGCCACCGCGCCCGGCTAAATACCTAACTCTTAATTGCCTCAACATTAACAAACATCCACAAGCATCAGGGCCATTCAGGAAAACATGACCTAACCAAACGAACTAAATAAGATACCAGAAACCAATTCCACAGTAAGAGATATGTAACCTTTCAGACAGATAATTCAAAATAGTTGTTTTGAGGAAGCTCAAGAAAATCCGAGATAACACAGAGAAGGAATTCATAATTCTATCAGGTAAATTTGAGAAAGAAAAAGAAATAATTTAAAAGAACCAAGCAGAAATTCTGTAGCCAAAAAATTCAGTTGACAAACTGAAGAATGAATCAGTCTCTCAACAGCAGAATGGATCAAGAAGAAATAATGAGTACCAGAAGACAGGATATTAGAAAATACACAGGCAGAAGAGACAAAAGAAAAAAGAATAAAAAAAAAAAGAAGCATGTCTACAAGATACAGGAAATAGCATCAAAGGGGCAAATCTAAGAGTGGCCTTAAAGAAGAGATAGAGAGATCAGGGTAGAAAGTTTATTCAAAGAGATAATATCAGAGAGCTTCCGAAATCTAGAGAAAGATATCAACACTCATTTACAAGAAGGTGATAGAACACCAAGCAGGTTTAACCCAAATAAGACTACTTCAACACATTTAATTATCAAATTCCCAAAGGTCAAGGGTAAAGAAAGAATCCTAAACACAGCAAAGGACAAGAAGCAAATAACATATAAAGGACCTCCAATATGTTGTTACATTCTTTTTGCATTCTGTTTAAAAAGTCTTTGCTTTATCTCAAAGTCATAAAGATATTTTCCCATGCTATCATCTAGAAACTTCACGTTTATTCTTTGCATTCATATAAATAGTGTATTGGGAGTTAATTTTTGTGTATGATTTGAGGTAGAGTTCAAGCTGTGCTATTTTTTATGCAAATGACCCAGGACCCTTTAATTTTAAAAAACATTATTTCTCCATTGTACTAGTGTCATCTTATGAGCATATGTGTCAGTCAGTTTTTTTTTGGACTCTATTTCATTTGTCTGTTAGTCAGTCCTTCCACCAACACAGCACTCTATTTTTGACTGTAGCTCTTACATTAAATACATTAAACTTTGATTAGTGACAATGTTAAGCATCAAGGTTTGTTATCCTGAGGATAGTCTTGGCTATTGTTTGCTCTTTGCATTTCCATATGTATATACTTTAGAATTACTTGTCATTTTCATAAAAAATAAAATCTTACTGCAATTTTGATTGGGATTACAGTAAATATATAGAGTAATTTGGAAACAATTGACATTTTTATAATATTGAAATTTCCAATCCATGGACATGATATATTATCTATAGATTCATCCGTATTGTAGGAGAAGCAAAATTTTACCTCTACCCTCTCTGGGTTTTTCAGCCGAGCCTAATAAAAAGAAACTGACATAGGACAGATTAACAGGAAGAAGTATACAAATTTACTTAAGTTTTATGTGTCACCAGATCTTCATAAGGAAATGAAGACCCAAAAATGCAATTTGTATGTATGTATATATATACATATATAGATACATGACTTTTAGTTCATCCTAATGTATTGACATTTTTATGATTGTAAAATGTCCTTTTTTTCTCTCTTGTAACACTGCTTATTTTGAAGTCTATTTTATCTCATATTAATATAATGATTCTAGACTTCTTTTGCTTGTTGTTTGCATTGTGTATTTGTTCCATCTATTTTCAGCCGCCCTCTGTCTTTTTTTTTTTTTTGAGACGGAGTCTCGCTCTGTCGCCCAGGCTGGAGTGCAGTGGCGGGATCTCGGCTCACTGCAAGCTCCGCCTCCCGGGTTCACGCCATTCTCCTGCCTCAGCCTCCCAAGTAGCTGGGACTACAGGCGCCCGCCACTACGCCCGGCTAATTTTTTTGTATTTTTAGTAGAGACGGGGTTTCACCATTTCTTAGCCGGGATGGTCTCAATCTCCTGACCTCGTGATCCGCCCGCCTCGGCCTCCCAAAGTGCTGGGATTACAGGCGTGAGCCACCGCGCCCGGCCCCTCTGTCTATATTTAAAATGCATCACTTGTGACAACAAATAGTTGGATCTTCCTTTTTTTTAATCCATTCTAACAATCTTAGAATTTTAGAGTGTTTACTACATTAAAGTTTAAACAATTAATTACATGATCAAATTTAAACATGATGATTGTTTGTTTACTGATTAACATTAATCTCACTCTGTGCTTTTGGTCTCTGTTTCTCCTGACCTGCCTTTTGCATTGCTTAAATACGTTTTTTAGAATTCTGGTTTAATTTTTCTATTGGTACTTTAGTTGTGCCTTTTAGTATTGCCATTTTGGTGGTTTTTCAAGGTATTTCAATAAACATTAATAATGTTTTACAGTCTAGTTAGGGCTAATATTGTAGTATTTCATAAAACAAGTGTAGAAATTCTGTAATCATGTAGATCACCCTTCCTTGTTTATGCTATAATTATCAAATATATTAACATATATTATAAACTACAAAAGAAAATGTCATAATTTTGCTTTAAGTAATACATGTATTTCAAAGGAAATTGAAGAAGACATTTAAATCACCCAGATACTTAATAAATTTTGATGCCATTTGCCATTTCCTCCTAAAGAGTCAAATTTCCATCTAATCATTTCCTGTCAATCTGAAGTACTTCTTTAGCATTTCTTGTAGCATACATCTGCCAGCAATAAATTATCTTAGTTATTTTTAACAATATCTTCATTTGCCGTCTGTATTAAATAATATTTTCATTGCATGTAGAATTCTAGGTTGAATTATTTTTCTTTTAGCACTCTGAAAATGTTATTTTGTTATCTTTTTGGTTCTATAGTTTCTAATAAGAAATCAGTAATTTATTTTTCATCAATGAGCATAGTTACAATAGCTACTAAAAGTCCTTGAAGGCTAATTTCAACATGTGAGTCTTCTTGGTATCCTCCATTTTGTCTTTTCTCTTGAAAATTGATTGCATTTTTCTGCTTTGAGTTTTTGTGTTCATTGTTGTTGCTTACACTGTGGACATTGTGAATGCTGTTTGCAAGGCTGAATCCTATTATAATCCTCTGAAGAGTTTGGATTTGTTTTTACCATACATCCTTTCTCTTGATCCTAATTCTTGATATGTCAAAATATATTTTCCACAGGCTTGGGATAAAGTTATCCCTCTCTAGAGTTGATTTACCCTCTACTCTGGTGAGTAACAAAGAACAAATCACCTAGATCTAATCATGCCTGAACTGACTTGAAGCTGGCTTGCAGTCTGGCTGAAACTCTTTTCTCCATCTTCCTAGAGGAAAGCCCTCCAGAATTATCAATTGACAGCCTGGGTTGTATTTTAGAGCTCTCCTTCTTGGTGGCTCCTAAACTCCATTTCTTTTCTCAGCATCAGAAGACTGCTAAAAACTCCTCTTTTTTATAGTCACTTTCTACATAATTCTTAGCTTCTTGCCATTTACAACTGCAATGGTAAATGTTTTGGTGGTTAAACATGTGTTCAGTGTCAAGGTGACTTACTTGCACCTTTGTACTCTCCAAGATCTTATTCGTTCAACCCCAGGTTGCTTTGGTAACTGCAAACCAAATTTTTATCTTTCCATACTGAAGAGGTTGTCTTGAAACTTGAGTGGCTTCTCTGCCAGCATCTACTCTGGCCAGTTCTTTGGCCTCTTGGCCTCTTGACCTCTTGACCCATACTGAAAATGGGCAAATGCATTGAGAGGAAAAAAAATGCAGAAAGTTGGAAACACTTCAGTGAATTTTCCTTCTTTGTTTGATCTGGCCCCTCATATCCTGGTAGCTTAGAAATTCTCTAATATCTTACAGATTTTTGTGGGTTTTTTTTCCTTGACTTTCATAAGTCATAGTAAAAGTGTTAGTCTGCTACAAACTGTCCCACCATTGCCAGAAGAGGTCCCTACAATAAATATCTCCAGAAATTTGCCAAATTATTTTATAACAAAATATTTATGATTATGTTATATTCCACTGAACTGGTGTTCTATAACTTTCTTAATGTCTTCCTATTTATTGCATTTACAATAATCTTATTTTTAAAATTTTTTGCAGTGGGCATAGTAATTAATGTGTTTTTTTTTCCCCTGAGGAATTTATTTTTTTCCAAATGAATTCCCAGGAGCAAGAAATCCTTTAATGTTTAAAAAAATATGAACAATGTATTGCTCATTAAAGGCTTTTTTTGGATAACCTTTCAAAAGGATTGTACCAATCTATAACGCCACATAAAATGTATAATTGCTGCATTTTTATTACAGGCTCTCCAGCAGCGAACAATTTTATATTTAATTTTGGATGATTTAATAATTATAAATAATATATGTCATTTCAATTTAAATTCTCTTTGATCACTTACAAAGTTAAGAAGTGTGTTATATGGGCAGGCCAGGAGTAATTTCAAAGACTGCATGTCAGTAGAGCTATGGGGGAAGTTTTCATAATTGTAACAGCACATGAGTTCATTTCGCAGTTGTTTCTGGTGTATTCTTCCTTGTATTCTCAGAATTTTGCACAGGCTATGTTCAATAAACATTTATTAATTACTACCATTCTTCTTTCATTTTTCTTTTATTTTTCAATGACTTTAGACAGAGTCTTTGAAAAATATTTCTGAGGCTTTAGTTGCACATGATACAAAATTGTGGCTTATCTGTTTAAAGCACTTACTATATGTCCAATATCCTCCTTTCCTGGATGCCTCTTTCTGATCTATTTTACCATCAGGAGAAATAATAGATTCATAAGTTATGTATCTGTTATCTAGACTTAGATTGGTAGATTTTTCCTTTTTATCTGTAGCAAACTGGCAAAGAGGACACAATTGTATTTCTGTACTTGAGCAGGCACGTAATAACAAAGTTTTGAAAAATGAGGACATTATTCAAGGCTGCAAGATAAAGCATGACAGACAGAGTTTTTGATTGGGCAAACAGTCAGTTCTGCTCAACCATCATTCTGTAAATGCCCATCTTTCTGTAAGCAAAAATAATGCAGCTAATTTATCATCAGTAGTGTGGTTTTGAGTTGCTTTTCCAGGAGTAGTAATCAATTTGAAATAATTCTATCTGTATTGTAAAATTTCCTGACAAATTACAATTATGGCAAAGCAGAAAATATTAATTTTTTACATAATAGTCACTTTAAAATACATAATATCCTCTATAAATTTTTATAGGCTTTTCACTTAGAAACAAAATACATGCATCTTTATTTTCTCACAAACTATTATATTTGCTGTGTTAAATTCAGATGTATAGTTTATTCAAGCAATAGCTGCAAATGTCCTAATTTAATTTGTTTGCAGTTCTTTTTTTAAATATGAAGTCATAAACTACTTCACATTAAAGATAGCATCTCTTGAGTTACACAGGCTAAAATTTGTAAAAAGGAGAAAATGCATTTGCTAAATAAAAATAAATATAAATACATACTTTAGATCTACTCTCACCTAGAAAGATAAACAGGTAGAAAAATATTTTCTTTTAAATAGAGACGATAAAGAGAAAAATTTTAAAGCTTGGAATAAAATTTTATTTATTTGGTTTTATTTCCAGGTTGGAAACAAACTTTAAATTTGTCCATTCCTTACTATCCAGTGAATCAATACCCTTTCAGTTATCTCCTATAAATAGTTTTCTACATTTTGGGATTTCATGGTTGAAGAAAGACATGCATTTCAGGAAATGTCCACAGAAACAAATGTTGTTTCGATAACTCATCCATTTTGTTAAGTTAATGACAATAGAAACAGCAACCAATAAAACCTAAAATCTACAAATATTATTTTCCAATAAAAAGGGGATTTGAACACCTAAATAGAGGCAAAAAATAGTCTCAGGGTAAAGACAGACTTTTCATCAAATCCATTAACCTTTTAGAAAAGTTGTTATTGGTTTTATAGTTTCTTTTTCTCACTTTTACATCTTCATGCGCAATATTTATTTCTAGAACTACATGTCAATTACATGGGTATGTTCACTTTGCTTCAATAGAACAAAAATTGTTTAAAAATTGGAAAAATATAAAAAAACTTTCCCCACTGCCTGGAGCCAATACTCAGACAAACATACATCTAATCTAAACACTGCCAACCACAGAAAATTTACTGCTTTATAAAATTGGAAAGCTTTAAGTTTTAAAAATATTTTTATTATTTTAAAACAAAAGTTACTTCCCTATAATTTCCTTTCATGTTCTCTAGGTAAGTCTTTTGGAACTATTTAGAACAAGTCCATTCTCCTTTTCTGTAAGAATTAAGACAATTAATGAAGTAAAAGGGTTGGGATCGTATTAGTAGTTTCCAAATGTCTTCATGCCACATTTCAGCATTTTCAGGGACTTCTGAAACCCAAAGCTTTGAACATATTCAATACAACTTTCTAAAATTTAATGGGCTAGTTTATTTCTTGATTTGGTCTGAGTTCAATCCTGATATGTGAGCTTCAGATAATGATGGCCATCTTTGAAGTAAGCAAGAAGCAATAATCAGAGACCTTACCCACAGAGTGCCAGAAGGCTTTTCTTCTTTGGCAGCACCTGCAACTGCATTCCTGGATCAAACAGTGGAAGGTGCATTCTGTTTTCTAACTGTTGAAAATGCCTTTCCACCACAAGTCTTCACGCGCAGCATGGTTTTCTATCGCATGAGTGCCATTATAGCACTGCCCTTATCTAATGAGAAGTGTCCCTGGAGGCAGACATGAATCTCACTTGCTTTTGAGAGATGTATCATTTGTCCATGGTTACAGAAATAGTGGTGATCTGCTCCTGTGTAATTTAACATCCTCCTCTTGCAACATTCATAAGAATCATCTAAGGGAGTAAAACCTGAGTAACAGTATCACGGCATTTAACCAAAGGGATATAATTCTAATATTATTCTCCTCCTATTTTCCACGCTGCTACAACACTTTTCTGTAAATATGTTCTTTGCTTTTATACTGGTATCATATTATTTTCAGGATAAAACTTAGGGTCTTCTATGTGGCTTAGAAAATCTTTCTGACCTGATCCTGCCTGCCCTATCTGCATCACCTTTTGCTGTAACTACCCTGACTCAAAACTCTGACATTGAACCACAAGTTCCTTGAAGCCCCACGCTCATTCTTGCCTCAGTGGCTTTGAGCTGGTTACTTCCTCTTCCTAAAATGCCTTGTGCCACCAATCTTCTTCTGGCTTATATACCAACAGTTCTCATCTCGTCAGATAAGCATCCCCTAACTCCTGCATGTCTCTATATTACCACAGCATGCCACATGCAGCTCCATTCTGTACAAGCCACACTTATATTAGAGCTTTCATTTTGTATTTCTATAGATTGTGAGCATCTTAAAAGTAAAGACTCTAACATATCTAACTCTATATCCTCAGCAGTTTTCACAGTGCCTGGTACAAGCTAGTCTCCTTGGATAATTTATTTTTCCTGTTCTCCATTTTGATAACTGATAAATGCTCTTTCATATTATCTTTTCTACAGCCAGCTGTAAACATATATAGGAAAGCTGGCTAGAAGATAGAATGAAAATGGAAAGAAACATACCCCTCCATACCCCAATGCATATCAAAAGAGCATATTAACCTCATTGCCAAAGTTGTCCAACTACATGGTGAATACATCATGAACCTTTTGATATATTTTGTCTTACTAGGTGTAATTGTCATTTCCCTTTTTGGTAGTGCCGTGATATTTGGCAGTTTTGTAACAATACATAGATTCTGCTGTTAGTGACAACCACAGTGTCTGTGTGACCACTGTATGTAGAATAGCTGACAACTGTGAAGTTGGGATAACAATGAATTTGTCATGCATTCTTACAGTGACAAGTAGAAAACACTGCTTTATATTTTCAGCTTCCGGATAAGTACACTTTGTATCTTCTTTCAAATATTTCCCAGTCATCATGGCTGATGGATTGACAACCTCAAAATCATTTTCTCACAGGAAAAATTTAGCAAAGCATCACAACCTGGTTCAAGATAGAATAAAGTTCGGAAAATAAAAGAACATGGATGAAAGAAAATACAGGGTGTATCAGGACATACACTACTTAGATTAAAAAGAAAAGTCAGAAGACATTTCTCTGCATAAGATCATTCCACCTTTATACACACACCTGCACACACATGCATTCTTTGTGTGTGCAGTAAAATAATAAATGCTGCCAAACAAAAATTCTAAAAACAAAGCACCTTTTTTCTTAGTAATAATCTATCAATAATAATCGGGTAACCAGCCATTTTAATTAAAAAAATCTAACCAGTTTCTCTTTGGAAACCTCAGCAAGTCTGTTGCTATTGATTTGATCAGTAGAATTGGCATATCTGTGTGGTGGGCTCCACCATTCTCAGCATATTCGATCACATGTTGTATTGCAAGTGTCGCATAGGCACAGATGGGGAGTAATTTGAGAGAGCTATTTACTCAACACCAACTCTTCACCAGCTATTGGGTCAGTTTTATTACATGATTATTTAATCATTATGTGAACTCCATGGGTAGTTGTATCTCCTCTTTATGAAGGAGGAAGCTGGCTCAATTATATAGGCAACCCAGAATTCAAATCAATGTAAAAATGACTTCATAGCCCCTACTTATGCTGTGGTGTCACAATATCAATGAGATATCTCATTTGTGGTTCCATCTTCATCTAGTCTACATCAATACTGAGTAAGACAGGAAATAGTTCATGAGGAGCTGCCAAATAGGTGACGTGTATATTTTACCCTATCAAGTTGGCCCAGTTCATATGCTTCAGTATTATTTGCTCAAATTTCTTAAAATCCATAAATCTAAGTATTACTTCAGGTCTACATAATCAGAAAACTTAATGGGTAGAGCCCAGTATCTGTAGTTTTAAAAGCTTCATGGATGATTCTAATGTTCGTGCTAAACTATTTTCTGAACTTTTCTATTCTTTTAAATCCATAATTACTTATTGAAAACCTACTAAGTCATCTACCAAAGGCAAATTTTGTTACAAGGACCTGGTAAGTACCCAGAAATACATGTTATTATTTTCCTGACATTTTCCCAGGGCCTGGAAAGTGACTTTGATTGACCAAAGATTGTCTCAAGGGTGCTTTAAATATAAAAAGAATTCATCAGCCTATACAGATGTCTATCACGTACAGGTAAAACTAGGTACATTGCTTTGCTTATGCTCATCAGGAAACAATCTAACCTTGGTCTCTATTTTTTATTAGCAAGAGTGATATACAATCCTATGGACACATGTTCTGGCCTTTTCTTGAATCAAATCAACAAACAGCATGATTTTGGTAGTTGAAAAAGAATCAATGAAGTTTGAAATATTATGCTAATGGTCCCATTACATTATGAATAATGGCCTTATTTTCTTCAAACTAGAAAGAAAATAAATTTTCTCTAGATGGGGAAAAATAATTTACTATTTAGGAAAAATCACAAACCACAAATTCCTGGTTTCCAGTCAGGCATATAAAGAGCTTAGAAGTCACCACTCTACCCTAACAAGTGAAAAGCTAAACAAACTGAGAAATCAACAACTCTTCTTACATCTATCAGGGATTTCAGGTCACTCAATTCAAACACTGCTACTCCCAAAATTAGAGAGACAGACAGGCAGATACAGAGAATCACACTTCACTGGAGCAGAAACCCACGGTAGGAACCTCCACATGAACTACTGAAGAAGTAGGAAAACTAAACTATAATTGACCACTTGCTGGAGGCTTGATATGGACAAGTATGAGAGTTAAAAATCTCAGGTAGACGTAATCATAGGACAGCCTTCATGCTTTAGTGAGTTTTCCCTCCAGGAGACCTACCAGGTCCTCACAATGAATGTCAGGGAAAAAAAAATCCCCTCCCTGCTTCTGTCAGGGAGAGGAGAAAAGGAGCCATTTTATTGTTTTTTGGGTTTTTTTGTTGTTGTTTTATATATATATATATATATATATATATATATATATATATATATATATTTATTTATTTATTATACTTTAAGTTCTAGGGTACATGTGCACAACATACAGGTTTGTTATATATGTATACATGTGCCATGCTGGTGTGCTGCACCCATTAACTGGTCATTTACATTAGATATATCTCCTAATGCTATCCCTCCCTCCTCCCACCACCCCACAACAGGCCCTGGTGTGTGATGTTCCCCTTCCTGTGTCCAAGTGTTCTCATTGTTCAATTCACACCTATGAGTGAGAACATGCAGTGTTTAGTTTTTTGTTCTTGCGATAGTTTGCTGAGAATGATGGTTTCCAGCTTTATCCATGTCCCTACAAAGGACATGAACTCATCATTTTTTATGGCTGCATAGTATTCCATGGTATATATGTGCCACATTTTCTTAATCCAGTCTATCATTGCTGGACTTTTGGGTTGGTTCCAAGTCTTTGCTATTGTGAGTAGTACTGCAATAAACATACGTGTGCATGTGTCTTTATAGCAACACGATTTGTAATCCTTTGGGTATATACTCAGTAATGGGATGGCTGGTTCAAATGGTATTTCTAGTTCCAGATCCCTGAGGAATCGCCACACTGTCTTCCACAATGGTTGAACTAGTTTACAGTCCCACCAACAGTGTAAAAGTGTTCCTATTTCTCCACATCCTCTCCAGCACCTGTTGTTTCCTGACTTTTTAATGATCGCCATTCTAACTGGTGTGAGATGGTATCTCATTGTGGTTTTGATTTGCATTTCTCTGATGGCCAGTGATGATGAGCATTTTTTCATGTGTCTTTTGGCTGCATAAATGTCTTCCTTTGAGAATTGTCTGTTCATATCCTTTGCCCACTTTTTGATGGGGTTGTTTGATTTTTTCTTTCAAATTTGTTTAAGTTCTTTGTATATTCTGGATATTAGCCCTTTGTCAGATGAGTAGATTGCAAAAATTTTCTCCCGTTTCGTAGGTTGTCTGTTCACTCTGATGTTAGTTTCTTTTGCTGTGCAGAAGCTCTTTAGTTTAATTAGATCCCATTTGTCAATTGTGGCTTTTGTTGCCATTGCTTTTGGTGTTTTAGACATGAAGTCCTTGCCCATGCCTATGTCCTGAATGGTAATGCCTAGGTTCCTTCTAGGATTTTTATGGTTTTAGGTCTAACGTTTAAGTCTTTAATCCATCTTGAATTAATTTTAGTATAAGGTGTAAGGAAGGGATCCAGTTTCAGCTTTCTACATATGGCTAGCCAGTTTTCCCAGCACCATTTATTAAATAGGGAATCCTTTCCCCATTTCTTGTTTTTGTCAGGTTTGTCAAAGATCAGATAGTTGTAGATGTGTGGTATTATTTCTGAAGGCTCTGTTCTGTTCCATTGTTCTGTATCTCTGTTTTGTTACCAGTACCATGCTGTTTTGGTTACTGTAGCCTTGTAGTATAGTTTGAAGTCAGGTAGCATGATGCCTCCAGCTTTGTTCTTTTGGCTTAGGATTGACTTGGCAATACGGGCTCTTTTTTGGTTCCATATGAAATTTAAAGTAGTTTTTTCTAATTCTGTGAAGAAAGTCTTTGGTAGTTTGATGGTGATGGCATTGAATCTATAAATTACCTTGGGCACTATGGCCATTTTCACGATATTGATTCTTCCTATCCATAAGCATGGAATGTTCTTCCATTTGTTTTTATCCTCTTTTATTTTGTTGAGCAGTGGTTTGTAGTTCTCCTTGAAGAGGTCCTTCACAAAAAGGAGCCATCTTAAAATACACCAGAACAGTCTATTCTTCACAAGGCCTGCTCTCAGGAGAAGCTATTTTACCAGAACCTAATCTGCTGGGGTTTTTATCAGAGTCTGACCTACCTAGGGAAAAGAAAATGCCCAACTCAAGTTCCCGCTAGGCTTCCAGGTGGGAGAAGAAAATAGCCAGTTCTAGGCCCTCTAGCCATCCTGTCCTACCTAAGAGGGGAGAAACACTGAGAAGCACTTGAGAAGTTCATAGTTCATGAGCACAGGCTCACCAAAAGACTGAAACCTAATCATAGGACCACAGTATGCATCCCTTTCCTTCACACCTTAACACTATTATCAAAGTCTCATTCATCACAATTCCTTTTACCAGAACATCATGCACAACTTCCAACAAAAAATTACAGGCATACTAAAAAGGGAAGAGATGGAACATGAATCAGAACCAGAGTCAGATACAGCAAGAATGTTAGAATTGTCGCATCAGAAATTTTTAAAAATCTGTGATGAATATGTTAAAGAATTTAATGGAAAAAAGCAGACAACATGCAAGAACAAATTGGCAGTGTAAACAGAGGCGAAAATTATAAGAAAGAATCTAAAAAAATGCTAGAGATCAAAAACACTAACAGAAATGAAAAATGCCTTTGCTGGACTTACTAGTAGACTGGACACATCTGAGGAAAGAATCTTTGAGCTTGAGTGTATTACAATAGAAACTCCTGAAACTGAAAAGTGAAGAGAAAAAAAAAAAAAAAACTAGAAAAAAGAACAGAATATTCAAGAACTGTGGGACAACTACAAAAGGTAATGCTAATGTGTAATGCGAATGCCAAAGGACAAGAAAGACAGAAAGGAACTGAAGCACTATTTGAAGCAAGAATGCCTGAGACTTTCCCCCAAATTAATGTCAAACACCAAACCACAAATTCAGGGAGCTCCGAGAAGACCAAGCAGAAGATATGTTTTAAAAAAACTGCACCAAAAAATAAATATTATATTTAAATTTCAGAGAATCAAAGACAAAGACAAACTCTTGAAAAGAGCCAGAGGAAAACCACACCTTACCTATAGAGGAGCAAATACAAGAATTAAATACAAGCAAGAAATTAATAGAGTGAAATATTTGAAGTGTTGAGAGAAAACAAAACAAAAAGTATAGAACTCTGTTACCCTGCAAAATTACCTTTCAAAAGTGAAGGAAAAATAAAACTTTCTCAGGCAAACAAAAGCCAAGGGCATTGTTGCCTGCATTGCAAAAAATGTTAAAAAAAATTTCTTCAGAAAGAAGGAAAATAGTAGAGGTCAGAAACTCAGATTTACATTTAAAAAGGAAGAACATCAAAGAAGGAATAAATGAAAGTAAAATATTTTCCATTTTTTATTCTTAATTGACCTAACACATGACAGTGTTTAAAATAATAATAGTAGCAACGTATTTGATTATATATTTTATATATGTATATGTAATTTATACATATTTAAATATTTATATATGTCTTACATATATACATATACATATATACACTTATGTATACACTTATATATAAGTGAAATGAATGACAGCAATAATATGAGAGATAGAAGAAGGAATTAGTAATACTTTGTTTTGATAAGATACTTGCACTATTCATGAAGTGACACAGTGTTGTTTGAGGGTGGAGTTGGATTAATTGTAAATGTATATTGTAAACCCTAGAGCAACCACTAAAAATTTAAAAAAGAAATATATAATTGATATGCTAAGAAAAGAAAGAAAATGGAATCAGTGAAAACCCCAGAGGCAGAAAAAGCATGGAAGACAAAATAGGAACCGAAAATAAGGGCAACAAGTAGAAAACAGTAACAAATATGGTAGATATCAATTCACCTATATTAACAACCACTTTAAGGGTCAAAGGTCTAAATACACCAATTAAAAGACAGAGATGGTCAAAGTAGATCAAGGCAAGATCCAAATACATATTGTTTACAAAAAACTTACTTCATGTAATATATAAAAATATATGAATAAAATTGATGGAGAAAGATATACCATGTTAACACTAATCAAAGAAAAGGCAGGAGTGGCAATTTCAAGCAAAATCTGAGCAAATTATTTTGAGGATATCAGCAAATTGATTCTAAAATTTTATTTAGGAAAGCCAACTACCCAGAATAATCAAATAATACCGAAAGAGAAGAAGTCACAGGATTGACACTACCTAACTTCAAGATTTTACTATAAAACAATACTAGCCAAGACTGTATGGTATTGGTGAAAGAACAGACAAATAGATCTATGGAACAGAATAGAGAGCCCAGGAATAGACTCACATAAATGTAGTCAACTGATCTTTGGCAAAGGAGCAAAGACAATGGCAATACAATGGAGCAAAGATACTTACTCAACAAAGGGACCATTTCAACACATGGTATTAGAACAAAGAGACATCCACAGGCACACACAAAAAGGGCCTCAACACAGATCTTTCATCCTTTGTAAACATTAACTTAACAATAGATCATAGACCTAAAGGTAAATTATAAAACAATAAAACTTTTAGAAGGATAATGCAAGAATAAATCTAGATGACCTTAGGTATGGTGATGATATTTTAGGTATAACATAAAAGGCCATTCCATGAAATAACCAATTGATAAAATGGATTTTCTTAAAACTAAAACTTCTACACTGTGAAAGACAACATCGAAAGATTAGAAGACAAGCCACAGAATGGGAGAAAATATTTCCAAAGACATATCTAATAAAAGACTGTTATCCAAAATACACAAAAAGTGCTTAAGAACTCAACAGACAAACCAACAACTTGTTTTTAAAAAAATGAGTAAAAGACTTGAACAGACACCTCACGAAAGTAGATATACAGATGGAAAGTATGCATATGAAAAAATGTTCAACATCATATATCATTTACAAGTTGCAAATTAAAAATAACAATGAGCTACCACTACTTGCCTATTAAAATGACCTAAATTTGAGAGGCCGAGGTGGGTGGATCATGAGGTCAAGAGATCGAGACCATCCTGGCCAACATGGTGAAACCCCATCTCTACTAAAAATACAAAAATTAGCTGGGGGTGGTGGCGTGCCTGTAGTCCCAGCTACTTCGGAGGCTGAAGCAGGGGAATCACTTGAACCCAGGAGGTGGAGGTTGCAGTGAGCTGAGATTGTGCCACTGCACTGTAGCCTGGTGACAGAGCGAGACTCCGTCTCAAAAAATAAAAAATACATAAAAATAAAATAAAATAAAATGACGTAAATACAAAACACAGGCAATATCAAATGCTGCCAAGGAATTTGGCAAGGAACAATAGGAACTCACATTTATTTCTGGTGGGAATGCAAAATGGTACAGCCACTTTGGAAGACAATTTGACCATATCTTAAAAAACTAAGCATGCTTTTCTCATATGGTCCAGCAATCATGCTCCTTAATACTTACCTAAATGAATTGAAAGGTTATGTCCACACAAACACCTGTACATGGATGTTTATAGCAGCTTTATTTATAATTGCCAAAATTTGGAAGCAAACGAGATTTCCTCCAGTAGGTTAATGGATAAACGGTGGTATATCCAGATGATGCAATATTATTTAGCCACAAAATAAATGAACTAGCAAGCCATGAAAAGAAAGGGAGGAAACTTAATTGTATTACTAAGTTAAAGAGGCCAATCTGAAAAAAATTACATACTTTCTCTTTCAGTCATATGACATTCTGGAAAAACCCAAACTATGGAGACAGTGAAAAATGAGTTACACCAAGAGGGTTAGGAGGGGGAGAAAGATAAATAAGTAGAGCACAGAAGATTTTTAGGGCAATGAAACTATTCTGTGAATGGCAGATCCACATCACTATGCATTTGTCAACACCTATTGAATATGCAACTCCAAAAGTGAAACTTAATATAAACAATGGACTTCGGGTGATAATGGTGTGTCAATATAGGTATATTGATTGTAGCTAATACATCACTGTAGTGTGGGTTGTCAATAGTGGGAGAGATTATGTCAGGGGCCAGGGAGTACATGGAAACTCTCTGTACTTTATGCTAAATTTTGCTGAGACCCCAAAACTTTAAAATTAATGTTTATTAATTTAAAAAAATCACAAATTATTTAATATTATGTCATAGTCCCAAAGATATTCCTTAGGAGTGAAAATAATATTCAGTAAGTAATACCCATGATTTTTAAAAAAATTTGGGACACATTGATCTCGTGATACTGAATTTGTTTAGATCTCTGTCTTTACCTGGAGAAAGTGAATAATTTGTTAATGGATTAGGATTCAACTCATTCCATGGTTTACTTATTTCACTTAACGATAAATGCCTATTATAATTTGACTCCCAAAAAGGGACAAGCAACAAGAATGTGCTTTTTTAAACCATTAATCAACACTCTATATTTTCTCATTAAAATAGCAGGCTACATTCTTAGTGAATGACCTACCATGTTCACCAAAATTGACAATATTGAAGAACATTCTTTAGATTCCTTGGTTATAAACAACCACTTTATTGTCTGATTAGAGATAAGCTGCACGCACACACACATAACGATATAAACCACAAAACTGCTATACACAGCCATAATGCTTTTTGCCATTGTGTGAACTCTCAACTCCTACCTTTCTGCTCCACATATACATAGGACCTATGGGACCATGCACATAGCCAGCATGATAAAGTTGGGGGAAACAACCTCCCATGTACTCCATGTACTCAATATTATGCATGGGCTAGTTACTAGCTTCTTTGTGCCTCAGTTTACTGTTTGTTAAACATTCCTTATGACAACCAACCATATCAAAGGAGAAGAAAATATGAACTAACATGCAAGTATAGAGATGCTACTACATAAGCAAAATCTTACCAAACTGTAATATTAATGTGGAGTGATAGGAAGCAAGGAATTGAGGGTTAACAAAATTTCCCTTAATGGAGGGAATGTTTTGAGAGTTTGAGAGGTCCTGAGAGACCTTGGTGGTTTGAACTTAACAAAGATCTTATGCAACCAACACCTGTAGCTGGGTTAAGGGAGTGTAGGATACAGCTGCTTAAAAGGAATTTTCCATCTCTACAGGAATCTAGCAGCCCAAAGGGACATTGCAAATAGTAAAGATGTGGGCTACGGAACAGCAGGCTTAAAACTCCCTATCAAAGTGGGAAATAAAAGGTCATTCTCAAAGTGGGTAAGTAGACATTTATCCAAATGTCAGAGGGATTGAGCACACGTGAGCGCATCTTGAGAGTTTGTTGGCTTGGTGTCAAAGGACATTTATTGATGGGACACTGAGCAGTGTCACACAAATGTACTTTGTTTCAGCTTAATTGGACTTTCCCCCAGGTATCTAGGGTAAGTAATGCTAGAGGTATCTGGGGACCTAAAATCAGAGAGTATGGTGGAAAATATGATGATGTACTTCAACATATCAAATTTTCATGAAATTTTTTATGCAAGGAATTTTTATAATAATATCGAAGTTTCAATAGTTGTGGTTTATACTATCTCAAGAAGCAAGGACAAATACAGGTTATTCATAGACTACTTCTGTTCATACATTCCATATATATTTATTGAATGTCTAGTATGTGTCAAACACTATTGGCCTTGAAGTTGGGCTGAGTCTCAGTCAGCAGTTTTTTCAGCAAACTGGCCTTACAGGTGTGTCAAATATTAGTAAATGATCTAGGTGCTTTGAATGTAAAGTTATCCAGAGGTAAAGGACTCTGGATAACTTTACAAAATCAAAGTAGCAAAATCATCTTTACAAGACAGTAAACATAAAGGAGCCACACCCAAGTTAGAATTTGGAGAACCAGATTCACAGGAGACTTTGGTTACCTCAGGTCATCATTCAAAGCTCGAGGAACAGCAGTGATACTTCCAACTCAGGTGATGGAGTGAACAACAGCATGAATGATAACTGGCAGAAACAGCAAATAGTGAGAATATTTACCAGGGACACCGCAAAATGATGAAAGGATTTCAGTGTCATTCTTCTCACTCAGTTGAACTGAGAGCTAAATGTGCTTTTTCAAACCGTTCTATTAACCAAGTACTCCATAAACAGTATGGACCAAGGATACAAGAGAGACACAAATAAATAAATCTAAAAATTAATGATGGATATAGGGGGAAACTATTTCTTAAAGAAATTAACAACAGCCTAAAAGCAAAGAAAAAATGAAAATATATAGATCTCTGCAGATGAGTCATGAATCTATAAATATAACCTCATTTTACTTAACTCTCACAGCAAAAGACAAAGATCAGCCAAACAGGTTTAAGTACTAGATCCAACATGTTGATCTGTCTCTATCCCATATCAGTTCAGTTTCAAAGGAATTTTGCCAAGACTGTCTCCTTTGAAAAGGGTACATAAAAGCACTTCAGAATTTTCCCTTAGGAGAAATATGAGTCATCATTTGCTTTATACAAGTTTTTGTGTGATATTCAAGGGGAAAAACAAAATACCTGCTTTTAGAGATGGTGTTAGAAACAAATTTCTTAGACAAACTGAAAACAATGCCTCAGAAATGAAGAAATAAAATTTCTTAGACAAACTGAAAACAATGCCTCAGAAACAATGCCTTGAAATGTGTTTCAAACTTAAAATGTCTGTGAATGAGGTAAAACTATTTGTAGGAAATGTATTTGTATCTGTATGAGTCAAGGTTCCCCAGAGAAACATAACTAATGGGATATGTATATATATCCAAAAAATATTTATTTTAAAGGATTGGCTCACACAATTATAGAAGCCGGCAAGTCCGAAATCTGCAAGGCAGACCGGCAGACTGGAAGACATGCAGGGCAGACTGGCAGGCTGGAGGATTGGCACCCAGGAAGCACTGCTACTCAGTTTAGGTCCAAAAGCTGTCAGGCTAAGAAACCAGGACCCAGTGTTGCACCTCAAGTCTGAAGGGTGTGTGGCATGATTCTCTCTTTCTTGACAGAAGTCAATCTTTTGTTCTCTTCAGGTCTTCCACTGCTTGGTTGAGGCCCATTCACATTTGTGGAGGGCAATCTGCTTTATTCAAAAGTCACCAATTTAAATGTTACTTTCATCCAAAAACTCCCTCACGGAAACCTCCAGAACAATGTTTGATCACATATCTGGCATCATGGCCCAGCCATGTTGACACATAAAATTAACCATCACAGTATCTATATAACCCACTTTATTTTTTAAAAAATTTAGTCTTTTGTCCAAAAATCATAAACACGTTTTCAGAGAAGACCCCCTAAATGTAGAATATTATATTGATTGCCTACAATTATGAAATAAATGAACTTTTCATAGCTCCTGTTAATACCAATGCTTCAGGCACCAAAATCTCTGACATTTTTCTCAGTGGGTCAATAAATAAGCTCAAAATTTGCCAAAGAATTATGTCTGTGCTCAACAATTACAGAAAGAGAGTATGAGAGACCACTATTCCCAGAAGAGAGTCCTTTACCTCTGGATAACTTTACATTCAAAGCACCTAGATCATTTACTAATATTTGGCTCACCTGTAAGGCCAGTTTGCTGAAAAAACTGCTGACTGAGACTCAGCCCAACTTCAGGGCCAATAGTGTTTGACACATACTAGGCATTCAATAAATATGTATGGAATATATGAACAGAAGTAGTCTATGAATAACCTGTATTTGTCCTTGCTTCTTGAGATAGTATAAACCACAACTATTGAAACTTTGATATTACTTATTATAAAAATTCCTTGCATAAACAATTTCATGGAAGTCTTTCAGTCTGGAATTTGTGTCTTTGATATCACTAAGTGGTGCTCAAGCTGATTTTTGAAAGTGTTCGAAATTCATTTTTATTTATGCCTGCATGCAGCTCTCAACACAAACGTATGCTCCTTTTATTATGTATTCCTTTCTTCTTTCTAGTTCATCCCTTTCTTTTCTCTTCTTATTTTTCTCTTTTAACATTTTTTGTTTCTCTTTTCTTCTTTGCAGTGTTTTAGGCTTAAAAGAGCCCTCTCCTGCCCCGTGTGATATTATTTAGTCCTTTTACAGGCACTTGAAACTATAGTCATTCAGCTTTTCAATGGTCTTAAATTAAATCATTTGTTATTTGCATTAATGTGCTTCAGTGTTTATCTCATAGAGTTCTTTCCACAAAGTGTAAAGTTAATGACAGATATTATAAGGATGAATCATGATTGATGAAAACGATGGTGATGATGATGCTGTTGTTGGCAAGTGACTTGCAGAGTGGACTACTGACATTTTTTACCGCCTGGCTTCTCTCTCATTTTGATAGAATAACTGCCCTTTGACAAACATCCCTCTTAAACTTTGCTTTTTAATTTTTTTCTAAGTGAGACAAACAAACAAAATTGCACCTGGCAAATGCTGATTAAGCCAAGGGCAAATGCCTGACTCTGGAGAAAACTCATATAGGTTGGCCAGTGATTTGTGGAATTGTTAGAAAAGAGAAGCTGGTTTATTATTATTCCAACTCCAGGACTTTGATATATAAAAGATTCTGTTAGTAAAATGTGCTACAGCTGGGAGGTCACAATAAAAGTTTACACTGGTGGCCATTGCCCAAATATATGCATAAATCAATCAAGCCAGAGGGTGGATGGAGTTAATGTTGTAGATAAATGCAGCCAATTCAGGAGAATAAGAGTACAGAGAGATTTTATAGCACCTGAGAGATGCAGAGGAGCCTAATTTTACACTTGAAATTTCTAGTTCTACTTCTTTCTAAGATTCATGAGATGCCCAGGTGGTTTTCTGTTTCTTGATATCAGAAGAGTCATAAAAGATTTTCAGGAGTCTCTGTCTCAGAAGAAAAAACAATTATAATATTTTATGTTATCATAACCTTCAACATATACTCTACATAGCTATATTTGTTCAGCATCTACTGTATACAAAAGCCTCCCCAGAAATCACAGAAATAGTATAGGATATAGCAAAGAAATAGGATATAGTAATCCTATATTTTATCTTCACAGAATTGGATGAGTTTTAGTAGGTCACATATTCCAGCAAAAGCATGTTTCTCTTAGTTTCCCATGCAGCTAGGTGAGGTCACGTGAGTAGCTTCTAGCTGTGAATTGGAAGTGCTCTGTGCAACTTCTAGGTGAGGTCTTTAAAGATAGGGAGCATACTTTCTATCCTCCCTTATACCTTTCCTGTTGAGTAGGATATAGCCATTACAGTAACAATCATCTTAAACTACAATATGGTAGCCAGACCATGGTGACGGCAGTCTCTAATATTACGGACCTTTCATTTAAGATCTGGATTATTTACCCTTGTATTCTTGCATGAAATCTCCATGTTATTTAACTCAATGTTACTTTGTCTTTGCTACAGCAGCCAAAGAGATATACTAACAAACAACATTGATGAGAAGGAGATTCTGTTAATAGGAGGAAGGAAAAGCATCAAAGGTAATTAGATGAAGTAAGATGATTTAGTTTTGGAATTTAGAAGGAAGTGCATACTTCACCAAGATGTTAAAAGAAATAGGCAAAAAAAAAAAAAAAAAAGAGGAAAACTGCACAAAGTTAATGTGTTCTCAACCACAAAAATAAAGTGAGTAAAGAACACAGCAGATGTTTCCCCAAATATAGTTGAGGTAGTGGTTAAGGATGAACTTCATATGCACCCCCCTGATTGCCCTAAAAAAAAAGTATACTTCTCTATATTTAATGTAATCTACATGCAGATATAGAAAAAAAGATATAACCTGCTACATATTATCTAATTAGCACCTCATCTAGGGTAGATCCAGGTATTTCTGACATCAACAATAACTAAGGTCATGGTTAGAGAACTTTAATTATATAGAAAACGATGAATTTGAACTTGTGCTTGAAAAATCTTCTGTGAACGGCATGCTTGCTTTTCCCTAGGACTTTGCTAAAAGTAATGTAGATAATAAGTATGTAGTCCTTATCTACAGTCTCACAAATTCCGGTTATTGGCCTTACTATCTTGAAGAACTCTTTATCTGAGAAATGTTTTAAGTTCCTTTTCTTGGTGACCTGTGTGAGCTGCTTTGGGATTCAAGTAATTGTAGAAGCTTGCTGTTAGATTGTTTTCCTTGCGCTTATCATTATCAACCAGGGAGAATGGAATGGCCCAGTGAGGGCTGTGGGAGAAAGGGAGGGAGACAAGAATCTGTAGAAACCTTAAGAGTTTAATAAAGGTTCCAAAAACAAATATGCTGAATCTAGATCTGTAATCAACATGAAACGTTTCTGTTTTGATGATAGCGGGATGGACTGTCCTCTCCCCAGCTATGATGATGGTTAATCTAAGATAGAAAGCAAATCTTAATTAGATACGTTAAATGCATTTATTCCTATTAAATATTGGCTTTATTTCTTGTAGGACAACAATAATGATTAATGTTACAGAATTGCATTTGTGTAAACATAGATTTTAGTACTTAACAATAATTATAGAAAGCTGTGAACTTGGATTTCCAAGGACAGAGAGAAATAAAGAAGTAAATAATACTAATTTATATGGACATATTATATCCTAAATATCAGAATAATAGTTTGTTCCCTTGAAAGACTTAGATAGTTTTTGCTCGGGGAAGCCTTCTCAGAATTCCTACCCATGTATCTAGGTTAGGTGTTTCTTTTCTGTGCTTCAATAGCACAACTTATCACTCCATTATAATACTTTTGTAAATTTATTTTTCTGCCTCTATACAGTAAACTCTCTGATAGTAGGAATATATATTACTTGATCACCATATGTTCCAGTTATCAATTTCCAGATAACAAATAACTCCAACACATTGTGGCTTAAAGGAACAATCATTCTGTTCACAATTTTGTAAACACATGTAACAAATTATGTACAAATTCTGTTGTAAACAAATTCTGTAAAATTCTGTAAACAAAACAGAGTGTAGAGCCCTGCCATCTGGACAGGACTCAGTGAGAAAGTCTTGCCTTTGTTCCACACAGTGGATGAACTGGGGCTGGAAAATCTGCTTCCAAGATGGCTTCTTTGAATGGTTTGTGTATTCATTATCTATTACTGTGTGACAATTTACTTCAAATGTAGCGGCTTAAAAATATAATCAGCATTTGGGTTTTTTTTAACACAGTTTCTGTGGATTGAGTATGCAAGGAAGAATTAGCTGGGTGGTTCTGCTCAAAACCTGTTCTCAGAACAGTTTTGTGGTTGCGAATAGCTGGGTGGTTCTGCTCAAAACCTGTCATGATACTGTAGCCTAGGGTTGCAGTCACCTGAAAGTATGACGGAGGCTAGGGAATCTTATTTGTAAATGGCTCACTCACACAGATAGGGAGCTGGTATTGGCTATTTGTAGAAGACCTGAGTTCCTTACCACAAGGACCGATCATCGGACTGCATGACACAGCAGTTGGCTTTCCTCAGAGTGGTCTAAAAGACAGCAAAACAAAAGCTGCAATGGCTTTTAATGCTTACCCTATGAGGTCACACGCTGTTATTTCTGTTATATCTTGTTGGTCACACAGTTCAGTCCTATTCAGTGTGAATACAAGAAGGTAGGAATTATTATGGCCACTTTAAAGTCTGGCTACCTACCACAGCTGCTATATTGGCATTAGCTATTACCTGTGCTTTCCCATAAGGCTCCTCGGACTTCCTCACAGCATGGTGACTGCATCTCAAGAGAAAGAGGAAGCAAGGAAATTAAGACGCAGAAAGTAACACAGTGACTATACCAGTTTTTAAATCCTATACCCAAAGATGGATACATTATTTCCACTTTATTCTACCAATGAAAGCAGTTATTTATCCCACACAGAATAATCTATAAAAGAAATGACAAAGAATTTGTGATTTTTTTTTTTTTTTGAGATGGAGTCTCACTCTGTCACCCAGGCTGGAGTGCAGTGGCACTATCTCGGGTTCAGGTGATTCTCCTGCCTCAGTCTCCCAAGTAGCTGGGACTATAGGCTCACACCACCACGCCCGGCTAATTTTTGTATTTTTGGTAGAGACAGGGTTTCACTATGTTGGCCAGGATGGTCTCCCTCTCTTGACCTCATGATCTGCCCACCTTGGCCTCCAAAAGTGCTGGGATTACAGATGTGAGCCACTGCGCCCAGCCATTTGTGATCATCTTTACAGTCATGTGTATGACATATAAACTAAGCACAATGTTCTGAATTCCATAGGCAATCATTAAATGTGGGTTCAAAACATGAATGTATTTTGAGTTTAATTTTTAAAGTATTGATTGGTATAGTTATATGCAATAAACATTTTAGAATTGAAATTTTTACATACACTAATACATTCACAAATAGAATAAATAAAAGATGCTTTTATGTTCCAGTTAAAGTGCATATTATATTATTTAATATTAGCCATTATCATTTCTTCCATGGAAGCTGCTTTCTCAAAACATTTTTTTTTCTGTAAAAATGAGTTTTGAGTGGAACCTGAGACTACTAAAGGCTATGATGACATAATACTGTTATTATTAGATCAGGCACGTGGCTCACATCCATAATCCCAGCATTTTGGGAGGCTGAGATGGGTGGATCACTTGAGGTCAGGAGTTTGAGACCAGCCTGGCCAACGTGGTGAAACCCCGTCTCTAAAAAGAAATGCAAAAATTAGCCGGGCATGCTAGTGGGCACCTGTAATCCCAGCTACTCAGGAGGCTGAGGCAGGAGAATGGCTTGAACCCAGGTGGTAGAGGTTGCAGTGAGCTGAGATTGTGCCACTGCACTCCAGCCTAGGTGACAGAGCGAGACTCCATCTTAAAAAAAAAGACAAAAAACTGTTACTATTTAAGGTTGAGTTAGTAGACAATATATAGTACAGCCATTAAGGAAACTTCGTAGAATTTATTTGAAGGGATGAAGACCTTTATAAGGTAGAAAAATCAGAAGACAGCTAAGATAAAGTTTCATAAAATGTCTTATAACATATGGCTTACTCATAATGAACTATACTAAGAAAGTATAATTCCGAACATTTATTTTTTTTTGCACTGTTATAAAAAGATATAACCAAATTGGTTCAGGCAATACTCACCTAGTTTAAAAATAGCACTTAAAGCATAAATGTCTACATTGTTTATACTTTTTAACAAAGAGCTAAGTGTATTTTTTGAAAGGTAGTAAAATAAAATTGCAGTTCTGTTGCATCCAGTTTCACCTTTAGACAGTACTTTTAAACCAAATTATAAAGGTTTTATAAAAGCAAGGCAGGCATTTAATTACTATCCCAAGAGCAGTACCATTCCAATATAAGTCAGTAACAACACATATTATCAATCAAATTGAATTTTCAAGACTGCTTTGTGCAGAATACACACTCGATTATGTACTTTGTGTCACGAATACTTTTCTAAGGACCTTAATCCATATTGGCTTTAACCCTGTCCCCTAAGGTTCTTTGTGGCATTCAATCTGGAGTGAGAATTTGTAGTGAATAGATAAACAGTATGGTATCTAGTCGTTGTATGCAACCATAGCATGGACTGGATTTTGTTGCTATTTCACAGCTAAGCACAAGCTGCAGCAAATTGACCATGACCTGAATAATCAGAAAAAAAATGTGCATTAATTTTCACCTTGAATAGCTATACTGAAGTTTTATTTAGCAAATAAATTGTCCATAAAGTTTTCTCTTTATTAACATCTCTCCTAGTAAATTATTTTGAAAACAAGGCAAAGTCTATAATACTTTTCTATATTAAATACTATACACAATGAAGGTAACTTGGACAGACTGATATGCGTTCACAGGAAAAAAAGATCCCCTGCTTTATTACCATAAGTCAATAAATAGAAAAAAATTCTTTTCAGAGGTGATATTTAAACTTAAATCTGAAATATGAGAACACAGCAGATTTCAAGGATCCCCAGGAACATGATTTTGCAATGAAAGAAAAATGCAGAGCAGAGGAAAGAAATGAACTTAGCATATACAAGGGAATTTCAGAAGCAAGTGGCTGAAGGGTAGAGATGAAGCAAGGAGGAGGGTGATACAGTATGAGTTTGGACACGTGGGCAAGCAACAGCTTAGGCAGACAGTAAGTGCCATGATAAAGAATTCAGACTTCTTTCCAAAGACAATGAAAGTGATGGAAGGGTTTTAAATAAGAAAGTGTTATGATGAGATAAAAATTTAGCAAATACATTGTAAAGGTGCAAAGGGAAATATGGAGACAAATTAGTACCTGATTCCAACAAGGCTGCAGATGGTGGTTACTGACACTAGAGTGGAAGTAGTGATGATGGAGCCAGACAGTCATATTTGAAATGCATTGTATAGAACCAATGGGACTAGGACTGGATCAGATGTGGGATCTATAAGAGATGAAAATATTAGGAACAATTACCAGGTTCCTGAATTTAGCAACTGAATCTATTTTAGTGCCATTTAGTGAGATGAGGGTAGACTAGAGGAAAATATTTAGAAGAAAACTTATATATTATAATTTGGGGATATGTTAACTCTGAGATGCTTATGAACTATGTAAGTGGGTAACAGTTCTTGCTTTGGTTATAAGAAGTCAGAATATCAGGGGAAAATGTCCATACTATAGGTATAAATATGGGAGTTCACAGCATAAAGATGATTTTCAAAGTCATAAGAATTGATGAGTTCACCCAGCAAGAAGATATAAAGACAAAGACCAATGACTGTGCTCAACACAGAATTGTAATAGTTTAGTATAGAAAGAGAAGCTAAATTCTTTGGAAGAAAACCAGTGAACCATAGTATTATTAAAAATTGAGAAAGGATTTGTTCAAAAAGACAGTGGCCAATTAAGTTGAAAGATACTTTGAGGTCCAATAAGATAAGCACAGAAAATCCCCCATCAAGATTTAACAATATGGATGTGTTTTGTAAATTAGAGAACATCAACTGCAGTGGCCTAGTGGGGACAGAAGACTGATTAGAACGGTTAACAAAATGAATGGGATGTGAAGAAATGCAGACAGTAGATGACTCTTAACAAAATATTTTACTATGGGAAAAAAGCAAAGAATTGTGTAGAAACTAGGGGCATATGTGGGATCGAGGGCAGATATTTTTAAAATGGGAAATACTCTAGCACGTTTATATACGTCTAGAAATCAGGCATAGTAGAAAAGGAGAAAATGACGGTGTAGAAAAGGGTTGTTGTCAGAGTGTCCTCTTGCCTGGCTGATGCAGTGGTTTAAAAAAAAAAAGAGGAAGCATAGTGAGACTCTGTCTCTACACAAAATAAAAATTAGCCAGGTGGCTGTAGTTCCTAGCTACTCAGGAGCCTAAGGTGGGAAGATCACTTAAGCCCAGAAGGTAAGGCTGCAGTGAGTAATGATCCTGCCACTGCACTTCAGCCAGAGCAAAAGAGGATTGAGGTTTTAAAAGAAAGAGTCATTTTCTCAAGAAGACTAGAAGAGTGGAATGTAGAAAAAGAAAGAAAAGATGAGGGGTACTTTCTCTTTTACAACTGGAGAAATCAGGGACAGATGGGGCAAGGTGTGAAATAATTATTTCACAGAGTGAGAAATAAATGTTATAGGAAAACACAGCAAAACTAATGTGCAGAATCAGGGACCTGTTTGAGGTTTGTACTTATGAATTTAAAGTGAAACCAGTGCTGTGTGATTATCTCTGGCAATATTCATTTCCTTGGGTACAGACACAGAGGAGTAAATGTTGTTACTCTATGATTGGGGATATATCAGGTGATAACAAAGGGAGAGAGGGGCAAGTGAGCTAGGGATATTTGCTAAGATATGAGTATAGTTATAGACAAGGGAATTTAACCTGGACAAGGAATGCAGTAAAGAGGGAGGGAAAGAAGCAAAGAGATAGTGATAGTAGAGAGCCTGTTTAGGACTCAGGGAAGTTGAATAATTAAAGAAGTTGTGGTTCTAGAGCAAATGTCTTAGAAGTATAGAAAGTTATGGTTAGATATTGGGATATTTGAAATCTAAATCTAAGAGAAACCTCAGTTTCTGATGATTGCCACATCCGGTGTGTATCTAGAGGAGCAAATGACTAGGGTGGAAGTAATAGTCATTGGAGGTGGAGAGGGAAAGAACTCAGATTCAAGTTTCCACAGAGATCATTGATATATAACCTACTAACGATGCGTGGAGAGAAAGACTGTGAGCCGAGAACAGAAGTCTTCAACGTGCAGTAAACCAGATTGTGATTGCTACCCCTACGAGGAACGGAGCATATTTATTTTATTGAATTGATCTTTTTAATGCAATCAGATTTATTTCTTTTCAGTTCACATAAACTCATGAAAAAATGGAATTTTTTCCAGTTCAAGTTTTTCAGTTATATATTCTGAAAATTTATGCATTACAAACCAGAACACTTTGCTACTGCAGTTCTGGGAAATGTTGAATCTAGAAATGACGAGGGAGAGCTGTTGAGGATGCAAGACAAAACCAGGGAACTCACAGAGGAGCAAGACACCTAGGAGCAGAAGAGAGAAAAATCCAGGAGCAAACTACATGGGAATGGAAAGGGGAAATTAATTCAGGAAAAAATAATAATATAATGTTAAAAAATGGGTTATCTATTCAAATCTTTTCTCCACTCTATATGAGCTGAAAACCTTAATTATTATGTAGCCTAGTGTTTTGAGCAGAAGAGCAAAATGGAGATAATACTCAAGATAGCTGGTGGTTTTAAAACTTAAATGAGGAAATACATCTGAAGTTCATTTATTAGTTGTGGTACAGGCTAAGATATTGTAACAAAGCGATCTAAAATTGTAGTTACTTAAAAAAGAAATAGTTGTTTTTGTTTTTATGGGTTTTTTTTGTTTGTTTGTTTGTTTGCCACTAACAGACCAGGGTAGGTAGGTGAACTCTCCTTTGCAAGGCCAGCCCAGGACTTCAGTTCTTTCCACCCTGTCATATCCTACGGTGTGGTTTTCCTTTCTCGTGGCTGAAACTAGCTGAACTTCATGTCTGTTAGGGAGGAGGCAAGAAAGAGTGGAAGTCCAGGGCAGACAGCTTATCTTCAGGAAGTTGACACATGCTGTACCTGTTATTTCAACCTGCATCCCACTGGCCCAAACTTAGTCACATGACTAGTGTGGTCTTTAGCAGGCTAGTCTCATCCTCATCCTTAATTTGGGGGCTTTGGAATCTATTACCAAAATTAGTAAGAGGAAAATGAATTCTGGGGGAGAATTTCAGTCCCTATCATGGTACCTATCATAAAAATTGACCCATATTTTTTCTAATTAATAGTTCCATTAACTACAGTTTCCAGATATTTTTTATTTCTTTATTCAGCCTTTATCAATTTTACAGACATTTAAGTGCAAGCACCATGGATTTTTATTTATAAATATAGGTAAAACTTAATTTGTTAATGATTATAGACCTAACCTATCAACAGTTCAAAAACACTTTACAAGTACAAGCATTTAACCTTGTCTTTGGCTGAGCCTATTCACATAATAAAATGGTAGCACAGTGCATAGTTTAGGTAGACAGAGAACTTTAAAATGGAGTATACACTCAGACACTTGTTATGTCTGGAGATGGATGCACATGACTCTATTATTTAACTAAGTGCAACAGATTTCCAGCCCAAAGAAAACTACTCCTAAGTAGCAAGTTAATGCAACAATCATAAATCACATCTTATTCACTTAATTTGGTAGATGGCTTCACAGTAATACATTATTTCTGCTAAAAAAAAAAAAAAAAACTGTGACTATTTAGTTTACTTACCTCTATTTTACTTATTAAGCATCTTTTTGCTTTTGAATGCCTCTGATTGTTCATCATATGTCCAGGGAAGCAAGAGAACATTTGCCTCTGATTCCACCAAAACATTTCCAATAATGGGCCTATACTAAATAAAGCAGCTGTAGAGGCACCAGGGACATGTAAATCAGGATGTTAATGAAGAACTGAATGCTCTCAGATTTAAAGAGTTTCCAGGGACATGGCCCACGGAACTAAAACAGGTCATTACTACTCAAAGTAAATTTTACTGGGGAAATAAGGTATTTAACTTCTATTGACAAGTGAAGAACTTTGTAAGACGGGGTCTGTAAAATCAATGAAAAAAATTATACAAGTGATTTTTATTTAAAACAATAACTTTTTAGTATATGTACCTATGTAAAGTGCCTCCTCACTTCCCTCCTTTGAGTCAATATGCATCATCTCCTTTAAGGTCATTTTATAGTTCTACTTCTCCAGAAGGTTTTTCTTGATTATTATACTCCTGTGTTCTGTTTTTAATTCTTTAAAAATGTTTGAAACCTTTCTATACTTGTTGATATCTGGGTCTGTGAAACAGAAACAATATTATTACGATTTTATTGTTTCGCTACTAACATTATCAATAAAATCAGGGAGGGAGAGAAAGAAACCAGTATGTGCTAACCATATACTTAGCACAGGATATGCATGTGTTATTCACATAAATATTTTTATTTATTTCAATGCAGTATTGTATAGTGGTTGAAACTCAAGTTCCAGAATCAGACAGTACCAGGTTTTATTGCTGACTTGCCAATTTTTGCTTAAATAACCTCAGGCAAAAATCAGCCTAAATTTCTTCATTTTAATAATTATAGAACCTATCCAACAATGTTGCTGAATGATGAAATGAAGTAACATGTGTAAAGCTCTTAGATTATCCTAATATGGAATAAACTGTAAATAAGTATTAGTTAGCATTGTTGCTATTACTAATTCCTTCTGAAGCAATAGTTATGATAACTCTATTGTGACAAAACCAAATTTAAAGATTGCAGGTAACCTGAAAATACATATAGAATGGAAGATTTAGAATTCAAAACCTTGTCTGAATTCTAATGTGTTGTGCTTTCTTACCACTTTTTTGTTTCGTTTTGTTTTTTGTATCTTCCTCTCCACCAACACCTAAGCAAATACTGTTGTTTTCAGAATGACTACTAGGAATAGCAGCCCATTTGGAGGAAGAGGGCTGATTGGTTATTCTGTATCTTGGGTGGCTTGAAATAGAAAGATAATAATTGCTTTTTCATACACTTTGGCTCCTTTGCTTTTCACATGATGTTGTTAGATAGGCAAATGTTTTTACTATTAAGTAGCTTTTGTTCTGCAAATCCATCTGCCTTCCTTCTCTGTCTTCTCTTTAAGGGAAGGGAGAGGAGGGAGAAGGAACTAAAATGGATCCAACCAAAAGCAAAATGTGTAGACAGTGAGTGGACAGTGAAGGAGCTCTGCATTGGGTCTGAAAAGTCTGGATTACAGGATTACAGACTCCAGAGCTAACATTTTTACTATGTTACATGATGCTACTTCTCCTTGAGAGAAATAACATTTATTATCTTCTTAGAAGCAGTGTAAGGACTTTTAAGCTGTAAGTTTTGTGCCAAGCAGAGTTTAAGATAAATCCAAGTTCAGATATTGAAGAGAGAATATATAAATATCAAGTTTAAGTGTCAACATTCCGAGTCACCGAATTGTCACTGTATTGTCCATCCTGTTTTGGAGAGCAATTTGCAACCCAGCCATAGTCATAATATTCATATATATGTATATAACTGAAATTGAGTACTCCTAAGGTTTAGTGCTGATTTTAATTCATAGGAAATTTCTTTCTTTTATCTCAATATATGTCAGTGTATTGGCAAGCATGTTCCACTTCTACATATATCATTTTGTGAAGACAGGTGGTAAAATGCTCTGCATGCTACTGATGTATGGACCTACTTTTTTACCACCATTTTATTATTATTAATTTTTAATCCCAGTGTATGGACCCACTTTTAGGAGTAATGTTATAGAAGTTGCTTTAGTGGGGGCAGGATGGGTGGCAGGGAAATAGTTGATAATTGCATTGTTGTGTGTGTGAGAGGTGATGAGAAACTGAATTAAGTGGAGATGTGGTGACAGAAAAAAGGTATGTTAAAAAACCTGCAAGCATCAGGCTAGATTAATGCTTGGAATTTAAGAGGAAAAAAGAAAGAGACTTGGGATGAAGCTCAGATCTGGGTTTTGATGACAGGTTAAAAGGTTTGTAAAAGAAAGGTAAAAGTAGGAACAAGTTGAGTTTTAAGGATTATAAAATCACAAAGGTCATGCAGATAAAATTCAACTATATACAGTAACAAATATTTTAAAAAATTTTTATCTAAAACCTTATTTAATCATTTAAAAATCTACATCAACCACTATGTGCTTCTAAGCATCATTTAGGGATATTATTCTTATTTAAGATGTAACCCAAAGCTAAATGTAGTATTTTGAAGACATTCATTAAAAATGTTAAAAGCAGTATTTTGAATCTGTCTGAAACTTTCTCTTTGTTCAAGGTTTGTTTTGGCTTAATGTAAGATTCTCTGACCCAATATAAATATAGTTTACTCTGGTTATTGCTGGAACATTTACAGATGAAAGTTTTACATATTATATAGTGGGTTGTATTTGTTTTAGTTAAAATGATGTCCTAAAAAGGATTAAAAAAAAAAAACCTTAGCTCATTGCTTTGATATCATCATAACTAGGCAGCATTCATTCCATCCAGAGGCCATGTCAGACATCCAGACTAAGGTAAAACACTCATTTAATTTGAATAAGCCAAGGACATTGCAAATACTACCACAAATCAAGAATTCCATTTTAGCACTTTTTTTTTTATTAAAGAAAGTGAATTTTATCCAGATTTCTCATACATTGGGATACCAACAGTTCAGATACTCTAGTTCACCCAGCTGTTTACGAAAATTCAGAATGGAGATTTTAATTATGAATAGAATAAAATAAAATATATATTTTACTTTTATAGGCGGGATTCTATTGACATAGCCTTAGACAAGGCAGCACAACATTAATCAACACTTCATCTCTTTCTATCTGTCACAAGGACATTTTCGGTTTTAATTCTACTTGATTGGAAATAGAAAACAGTTTTGCAGCAGTGATTACAGCTTTCTTTACCATTGTTCCCACTTTCCATATAGAAGCCCTTAACTACAGTGTCAAAATAGCATTCTAATGACGTAAATTTTCTAATAGAAGTGACTCTTTTAATTTGTTTCTTCTTATTCAAAAACTTTATTTATGTATTTATGTATTGATTTAATTTTTTTGAGACAGAGTCTTCCTCCATCACCCAGGCTGAAGTGCAGTGGCACAATCTAAGCTCACTGCAACCTCTGCTGCCTGGGCTCAAGCAATTCTCCTGTCTCAGCCTATTCAGTAGCTGGGATTACAGGTGTGCACCACCATGCCTGGCTACCTTTTTTTTTTTTTTTTTTTTTTTTTGAGACGGAGTCTTGCTCTGTCGCCCAAGCTGGAGTGCAGTGGCACAATCTCGGCTCACTGCAAGCTCCGCCTCCCGGGTTCACGCCATTCTCCTGCCTCAGCCTCCCGAGTAGCTGGGACTACAGGCACCGCCACCACGCCCGGCTAATTTTTTTGTATTTTTAGTAGAGACGGGGTTTCACCGTGTTAGCCAGGATGGTCTCGATCTCCTGACCTCGTGATCTGCCCGCCTCGGCCTCCCAAAGTGCTGGGATAACAGGCGTGAGCCACGGCGCCTGGCCCTACTTTTTAAAATTAATTAATTTATTTATTTTTATTGTACTGTAAGTTCTAGGATACATGTACAGAACGTGCAGATTTGTCATATAGGTATACATGTGCCATGGTGGTTTGCTGCACCTATCAACCCTAATTTTTATACTTTTAGTAGAGGTGGGTTTTCTTCATGTTGGCCAGGATGGTCTCAATTCCTGGCCTCAAGTGATCCACCTGCCTTGGCCTCCCAAAGTGCTGAGATTACAGGCGGCAGCCACTGTGCCAGGCCCCCTTGTCTATAAAATTAGATAAACAACCCAATTCTCAGCGTTAGTGCAGGAGTGAGATAATAATTGAGATATCAAGTGAGAGTAAGATAGTAAGATATTGAGATAGTGAATACAAGGCATTTTGTAAACCTGCTAAATGTAAATAGAAAACCCTATTAATTGCAAAAAGTAACTTGTGCATTCAACAAACATTAAACATTAAAAAAACATTAGCTGGACAGAAACTGTGTGCCAGCTATTAGGGATATGAAGATAAACAAGGCAAAAGCCCTTCTTGTAAGAAAATCCCAGTCTAGGTGGAGATATGGTAGCATAAACAAACACAATCTGTTTAATACAATATGACAATAAACACAGTAAGGTGTGCACAGGGTTTGAGAATATGTAGAGAAGTACATATCTACATCTGCCAACAGAATCACTTATGGGAATTCCTGAAGGGTGAGTAGGAGTTGTTCATCAGGTTAACAAGGTGAACACAGCAGTCTTACCTTAGGGATAGGATGTCCAAAAGTAGAGAAGCTTAAAAGGAAATGTTGAAGCCAGGCATGGTTGCTCCTGCCGAGTAATCCCAGCAGTTTGGGAGGCTGAGGCAGGAGGATGGCTTGAGGCCAGGAGTTCAAAACCAGCCTGGTCAACATAGCAAGACAGTGTCTCTATATTTTAAAAAAAATGAAAAATAAATGTGAAAAAAAAAGGGAATGTTGAGACTTCAGATTCCATGAAGGTGGAGTAGCTCTATTCTTCCAGGTTCTGTTCCTTACAATTAAAAAAGCTTGAACCTAACTAAGTAAGCATAGGAAATCTCTAAAAGGTGGGAAAATGTGGAAAACCTAGGGAACTCAGGATTTGAGGAATGATTCAGTGATGAGTTCCCTGGTTTTTCTTATTGCCTCTCATACATCTCAAAAATGGTGCTACAGACACTTCCAATCCACACCACCAATAAGCACAGAAAAAAATAGGGTTTTTAAAAAGCCCTTACTCCTGATAAAGGACCAGGAAAGGGGTGACTAAACAACAGAGAACGTTTATGGCAACACTGGTCCTACTTCAGCCAAATATCACCTGGGAAAATCATACCTTCCCCTGTCCGAGCCATCGCTCCCTGTGGTTTGAGTGAGCTCTCTGCCCCTAGAATAAAGTGATGCTCTCATTCCCCTAACAAGTAGTGTCTACAAGGCAGAGTGAGAAGCAGAACCACATGGTGTCAGCAGGTTCTAGTGGCCAGCTGAACCACTGCTACCACCTAACAAGATTCCAGTGGTGTGAGGGAGAGCTAGACTAGTAGGTTGACAGCTCAGCTCTGTGGGGAGCAGTAAAGTGACCTGAATCAGCCCCCTACTTCTTCCTCTGCAGCAGGGAATTGTTCTTACTATCCCACTTGGATATAATCAGGCAGTGCCCACTTTGACAGAGAAATATCATCAGGGTCAAGGGAGAAGGTGAACTTCCACCATGCTCATCTGCAATAAGGCAGTGTGAGTCTCAAAGTCATAAAATAAATAATCTAAATTCTTACTTCAAGTAATTAGAAAAAGAAGAGCAAAATAAAACCAAGGCAAATAGTAAAGATACAAAGAGAAATCAGTGAAATTGAAGACAAGAAAACAATATAAAAATCAATGAAAACAAGAGCTGGTTCTTTCAAAAGGTCAATAATATCAAAAAACATATAGCAAAGTTAACAAAAATAAAAAGAGAGAAGAGACAAAGCACAATGAAACTGGAGATATCCCTACACATATGGCAAGCATTAAAAGAATAATGAAATACTGTAAACAACTACATGCTCATAAACTTGACAACGGAAGAAATGGACCAATTCCTTAAAAACCACAAATCAGAAAAACTCAGCCAAGTTAAAACAGATGTCCTGGATAGTCCTACAACCATTAAATACATTAAATTTTATTTTAAAAACTCCTGAAGAAGATATATCCAGGCCTAGATGGCTTTACTGGAGAATTCTATCAGGCTTTTGAGAAAGAATCAACACCAATATTATAAAATCTCTTCCAGCAAGTAGAAGAAGTGGAAAAACATTCTAACTCATTTTCTGAAATTGATATCATTCTGATACCCAAACCAGACAAAGAATGCAACCAAGAAAACTACAGGCCAATATCTCTCATGCAAATAGATGCAAAAATTCTCACAATGTTAGCAAAAGGAATCCAAAACTGTGTAAACAGAATTATGTACCATGACCAAGTGGCTTTATTCCAGGTATGCAAGTCTTGTTTAATATTTGAAAATCCATCAGCCAATGTAGCTGACCATCTCAATAGACTAAAAAAGAAACACCACATTGTGGCATCAATTGATACAGAAAAAGCACTTGACAAAATCTTACACTCATGCATAATAGAAAACCCTCTCAACAAATTAAGAATAGAGGGAAACTTCCTCACCTGACAAAATCTGCAAAAATCCTATAGCAAACACTATTTAATGATGAAAAACTCAGTGCTTTCCCTTCATGATCAGGAACAAGGTAAGGATGTTCACTCTCACCACTTTTATTCAGTATAGCACTGAAAGTTCTAGCCCTTACAATAAGGCAAGGAAAAGAAGTAAAAATTGTACATATTGGTAAGGAAAAAATAAAACTATACCTATATCACCATGACATGATTGTTTATGTAGGAAATTCCAAAGTATATACTAAAACAAAAATAAATTCTTAGAACTAATAAGTGAGTTTGGCAAGGCCAAAAGTTAATACAATACTAACACTCACAAATCAATAACATTTCTATATACGACAATGAACATACGCAATCCAAAATTAGAATACAATGCCATTTACCACAACTCCAAAGAAAGCGAAACACTAAGTATTTAGTTATAAACTTAACTAATCATGCACAAAATCTGTATTCTGAAAATTACAAAAGACAGATGAAAAAAATCAAGGAACAGCCTACCTACATATTTGAAGATTAATACTGTGTTCATGGATTGGAATGGAAGGCTCAACTTAGTAAAAATATCAACTCTCCCCAAGTTTATCTATAAATTTAAATTTAATAAAATTCCTTTCAAACTACCAGCAAGTCTTTTGTAGACATAGACAATGTTATTCTAAAATACATATGGAAAGCCACACTCTCTAATAATCATGACAAACAATAAAGTAAAAGCAAAGGAATCACTCTGTCTGATACTAAGGCTATTATATAGCTACATTGATCAAAAAAGTGTGATTTCAGTGAATAAGTACACAAAAAATATGACAGAAAATACAGAAATAGGCCAACACTAGTCCATACAGCAAAATGATTCTTGAAAAAGGTTCAAAAGCAATTCAACGGAGGATGGAGGGGGAGTATGAACTGCATCCAGTGATATCCATTTTTTCTTTATTATGCATTCCTTTTCTTTACTTTTTTTTTTTTGGTGGTTTGTTTTCTGATTTTTTTTTTTTTTTTTTTTGACAGAGTCTTGCTCTGTCACCCAGGCTGGAGTGCAGTGGCACAATCTCAGCTCACTATAACCTGTGCCTCCCAGGTTCAAGCCATTCTCCTGCTTCAACCTCCCGAATAGTTGGGACTACAAGTGTATGCCACCATGCCTGGCTGATATTCTTTTGTATTTTTAGTAGAGAGGGGGTTTTACCATGTTGGCCAGGCTGGTCTCGAACTTCTGACCTCAGGTGATCCACCCACTTCGGCCTCCCAAATGCTGTGATTACAAGCGTGAGCCACCACACCCAGCCTTCTTTATTATGTATGCTATTAACAAAAATGTTTGAATCCCAAGATATGGAGACCATAAACAAGCTACAACATTTTTAAGTATAAAAATATAACTAGGGGTTCTAATAGTTTATTTATTTAATCCAATAGATCATCTTGTATACTTTTGGGATGTAATCACCTCATTTTGGTGATGGCCATTATAAACAAATAAAACTTGGTATTCTTTTTTTGGTTGTTGTTTTAGAATAACATTCTATTCTATTTATTTTCCTGAAACCACTGCCCTGACCTATTACAAAAGACTAAATAATATTGGTGATATTCTCACAGTATTAGTCAGAGCATGCCACAATTCTCTATAGAATATTTTCTGTATTATTCATAGTAGGAAATTAACCACTTTCTGAAAGCATGAGAAATGTGAAGTAGCTTGAGTTTGCTCATTATATTTAAAATATGAGTGATAAGCTTGTAGTGCTAAGGGTGCAGGAAATAAAAATGTACTTTTAAAATTTTTCTTCTAACCAGTCTTCTCTTATACTTTATTCATTATAGTTCCATGCAAAATACATGTTAATTGAAAACTATAGCTTTTCCAGTATGCATACATGTGTGTATACTTTTATATTCCGTTCTGCTAAAAGCTGATGAGGACTTACTGTACTAAATACATTACCATAAAAGGTTTATGTTCTCTGTTTTTTTTTTAATTTTTTTCCTGGAGCTTATGGAAATAGCTTATAACAAGTAATCTCTGAGTTTTTTATAGACAGGACAAACTTTTTGTGTTGTATTTCTTCTTATGTGACCTATAGGTATACTTTGGTGAGTAAATGTTAGAAAGAATACTTTGTATATGAAGTACAAAATAATCAATAACAAATACGCCAAATGCATTATGGAAAACACTAAGGAGGACTTCCAACAAATATTGTGAAAATTTTGGAATAAATATATTTCCAAACACCATCTTTAAAAACCAAGGATTTTAATAATAACAAAAAAAGCCCAAATAGAGAAAAAAAATATTGTCTACCCCAATTCCAGAATAGAACTCAATATTTTGCCACAAATTCTAGTGAAAACTCATCTGATACAAAACAGTCTGGACCAGGTTAAGGAAGGATGCTAATAACCAATATACAGCTCAGTTGTAAATTCAATAAATATGTGTTCATTGATTACACAGATAAACATAAGAGAGAGTCAAGGAGACTTCACCTGTAGTATTTCATGACAAATGAACTTAAATAGCATTTGTTCTACTTAAACATAAGTAAATAGAAAAAAAATAGGACCTTAACCAAAAATGTGACCAAAAATATATTTTGCAGTCAAGGACAGCAAAGAAATCGTGGGTTTAAGAAGCAGAAGTTATGATAATCAATTAAATGAAGGAGACTGAAACAGAACAAGGCAATAAATTATAGAGAACAACAATGATAGTGCAGAACTTATGTATAAACCTAGTAAAAGAAAGAAGGCAGTCAACTTTTCAGAAGACCAAAGCAATGACATGTGGTGGAGACTTCAGAAAATCACAAATAATACACTGAAAAACAATCAATGAAAAGGTAATAAATGAGAAAGACAACAGATATCCAGCAAAAAGATTATTGGTGTGCCTGGAGAAGAGAACTGAGCTAGTAAACACACACAAAGAAAATCAAATTCAAAATATAAATGAAAGAAAACTTTCCTGATATGAAAGATGGCATAAATCTGCATCTACAAAGTGACTCACTGAATCTACTTGGCAGTAAAAAATAAATAAATAAGAAAGCCTGACAATTACAAATTTTTGTCATAAATTTTATATTTTAAATTTTTATTATTTACATTGTATTTATAATTATATATGTATACTACATAATTACATTTAAAATATTTACTTCCTCCAAGAAACATTTAGTTAGAAGTACTAGGTCTCCTATAAAGGAATAAAAAGTAGGCTGACCTCAGATTTCTCTGGCAACTATAGATGTGAGCAATAGAGCAGTGTCCAAAGCTGAACAATAAGGGTACAAATCAAGAACGTAACCCCATCAAGATTGTCATTTACTTGTATTGGTAATAGAGACACTCTCAAATACACCAGGACTCTGAAAGCATCACCTCTGTATCCTCCTTCAAAAATAAAAAAAAATGTTTAAAGTATTTTGGGAGAAATGAATACAAATAAAGAATGTATAAAGAGTAAAGCCATTGTCCCGATCTCGGAACTTACAATCTCTATTTTGAAACTCAAAGCTGAGCAGTCACTTCTTTGTTCAGTCAGTATCTGTCTTCTCTCTGTTACAGTGAATGGTTTCATGGGTAAATGGCCACAGAACAATAAGAAAAGAGACAGTAAAAAGAAAAGAAAATTTGGTTCATAACCTCAAAATACCTCACCTCAACTGCATTTAGGAGGAAATATTTTAGCTCAAACTTTCTGCTTATAGTTCTTTAGTTTATCTCATTCTTCTACTATCCTGTCTATTGATTTTTTTCCCAGATAGTCAACATTTTTTTCCAGTTTTTCTAGTTTTTAAATTACACACAGCATCCTCAGAAATAGTCTGTTATATCTTCATAAATACTATTTATTTTTCTTTTTTTCTTTTCTTTTTCTTTTTTTGGAGACAGAGTCTCATTCTGTCACCCAGGCTGGAGTGCAGTGGTACAATCTTGGCTCACTGCAACACCACTTCCTGGGTTCCAGGGATTCTCCTGCCTCAGCCTCCCGAGTAGCTGGGATTACAGGCACATACACTACACCCGGCTAATTTTTGTATTTCTAGTAGAGATAGGGTTTCACCATGTTGTCCAGGCTGGCCTCAAACTCCTGACCTCAGATGATCTGACTGCCTCAGCCTCCCAAAGTGCTGAGATTATAGGTGTGAGCCACCGCACCCTGCCCTGTTTATTTTACCAATATTGATGTTTAGTTAGGTGTCTCTCTTTCATGGTACCTTTTTAAAAATTGTCAGAGATTACTGGCTATCTTCCCATATTTGTACTGAGATTCTCTCTTTGCCCTCCTGCCTCTGGTTCTTGTGAAGGATTATGAGGAGAAGTGGGCTAGTAAGTTGTCTTTGGAGTTCGGGTGCCACCTATCCCTGCTAGAGTTATTAGCTAATGTGAGCACTATCTGATTTCCCAGGTTTCAATGTAGACTTTTACTCATTTAAAGCTGCAAGCAAATATACCAACTACTCACTATTCAGTCAACCATGAGGAAAGAAAGGGACAACCATCCAACTGCTCCAAAAGCAGATCACCAAGCGATCACCCTATCATTTTCTGTCCCTTCACTTCTATCTATGCTCTCTGAACTCAGTTTCAACAAATCACTCCCATCACCTCAGGAAAGTTTTGCTGATATTCTCTACTTTTTATCTCAGCAATTCCTTGAAATTTCTGATCTAGTGTCCTTACTGACTTCATTTAAGCAGAGCAAAGTGTTAAAATAGGGCCAGGCGCGGTGGCTCACGCCTCTAATCCCAGCACTTTGGGAGGCCGAGGCGGGCGGATCACGAGGTCAGGAGATCGAGACCATCCTGGCTAACATGGTGAAACCCCGTCTCTACTAAAAACACAAAAAATTAGCCGGGCCTAGTGGCGGCACCTGTAGTCCCAGCTACTCGAGAGGCTGAGGCAGGAGAATGGTGCGAACCCGGGAGGCGGAGCTTGCAGTGAGCCGAGATCGCGCCCCTGCACTCCAGCCTGGGCGACAGAGCGAGACTCCGTCTCAAAAAAAAAGAGATAAAGTAAGAGAAGACCTTTGGGGAGATGGTGTTTGAACACAGACCTGAATGAAATGAGCCATAATATCTTTAATATAATATAATTTACTATTATATTATTATATATCTAGAGGACTAGTATTCCACATAGTGAGCATAGCAAATATAAAATCTCTGAGTAAAGAATATGCTTGGCTCATTCAAGAAATCCAGTAGGACTGGAGTACAGTGTGATCATTGCTTCTTGGTAGAAATGAGAAGGGTAAGACCATGACTGTGTCACAATATAATGAGGGTGACAGAAACACACACATACAGAACAATCCAAAAGGCAATACGATCAAAATATGAGAATAATTATATGCCAAGCGAGTATAGGAATGGGAGAGACTAATTCAGACAAGGTAGATCAAGCAAGATTTTGTGAAAGACTTGGGAGATGAGCTTATCTTTAAAAAGGGGAGGTTAATTTTGTGTTTATGTAAAAGTGTGAGTTTACTTGTTGACCTTGCAACATGATTTAATGAAAGCCTTCATAATTTGTAAAGGGTTGCTTTTGTCTCAGTAGTCTAAGAAGTCTCATCACTGCACAGGCATTGCAAAGAGAAGAAAGAGGCCAGAGAAAGTTGTGATCATTACCCCTTCCTAATAAGGGCAGACTTGAAAATGACACTCATCACGTCTACTTACATTCCACTGGTCAAAAGTTTAATCACATGGCCAACTTTGCTGCAAATGCAGGTTTAGAAGTGTAACCTTTATAACAAGTTGCACACTACCTAGCTAATCGCTATTACATTGGAAGAGGAACGAAGAAATACGAGGGAAAATTGAGTGTCTATATCAAACTTTCTTTAAAAAAACCTTTATAATTCCAATAACCAAAATATGTCAGTTATAAACTGCTTAAAGCTCTACTGATATATACACTTCAGTTTTATTCACTATTTCTAATAGTTAATATTGAGTATCAACTTGATTGGATTGAAGTATACAAAGTATTGATCCTGTGTGTGTCTGTGAGGGTGTTGCCAAAAGAAATTAACATTTGAGTCAGTGGGCTGGGGAAGGCAGACCCACCCTTAATCTGGTGAGCACAATCTATTCAGCTGCCAGTGAATATAAAGCAGGCCGAAAAACGTGAAAAGGAGAGATTGGCCTAGCCTCCCAGCCTGCATCTTTCTGCCATGATGGATGCTTCCTGCCCTTGAACATCGGACTCCAAGTTCTTCAGTTTTGGGACTTGGACTGGCTCTCCTTGCTCCTCAGCTTGCAGACAACGTATTGTGGGACGTTGTGATCATGTAAGTTAATAATAAACTCCCCTTGATATATGTGTATGTATATATATATATATGTGTGTGTGTGTCTGTGTGTGTCTGTGTGTGTGTCTGTGTGTATATATATATACATATATGTGTATATATACATATACATATATATGTATATATATATACATATATATGTGTGTATATATATACATATATATGTATATGTATATATACATATATATGTATATATATATATATATATCTCCTGTTAGTTCTGTACCTCTAAGAGAACCCTGACTAATACACTATTTAAAGAATCACGTTCACCTTAGGGTGGGGCTATATCCACCTTTCCTCATATTTAGCTATAGATATTATATGGAATATTATTTGACTTGTTGAAATACTGGGCTAGCAGATTACAGCATAAATTCTTTGAATTAAGTAGACATTCTCCATCCAAATGACAAATACTTCATAGGTTACCTGTCCGAGTCCGAGTTGTACTGAATGGAATTTTTATTACTTTATTCCCCATCACTTTCATGGATTTTTATATTACCATTTGTATGGGTCTTTTCTACTTCAAATTTGATAGATATGCATATTATATGAAGTACTCTATATTTATGTTCCCTGGAAAGGCCGGAAGTTGAGTAAACACATCTCGAAACTGCTCCAGTAAAAATGCAGTTGCACACATCATGAATACATTATTGCTGTTGCAGCATCTGCAGTGCATGTGGCACAGACTGCGGCAGGCTTTCATTAGACTGCAGCAAAAGGCAAATATATGCTGCTCTTTGCTCCAAGAAGAAAATTCTGCATATTTTTTGTGAAAGTATAATCCCCAAATTTGCATCAACTGCAACAAAACACAAAAACCATATATAATTTCAACAATTGTGATTTTCTATAAATGTAAGTTTAAGTAATTCTACACATATGCTAATCTGCAAAAGAAGTTTATTATTCTATATTAACATTGACTTCAAAATTAAGATTCTGAATGAATGTTAATTTTCAATCTTGATTTGTTACACGGGTATTTTTGTGACCAGAATTCATCTACAAACACTATAAATATCAACAGGAGAAATAATTTCTAATGTATTAAATGATGTAAAAAATAGCTATTTTCTATTACTTTCATTGCCTACATAATAACAAATAGTCCCACAGTTTAATAAAAAAGAATGAAGAAAGTAGACATTTCAATAACCAGGTACATTTTATTTATTTTTTGGAGGGAAGAAACAATTAAAATGTATTAAAGAAAATATCACCGTGGAAATCAACCCTAATTTACAGAGCCCATGACCAGTTTATTTTGAAAAAACTAAAAATTAGAAGCATCAGAATGATAAGACATTGAGTTGGTAAAAGATAATGTCATAAAAATGGAACAATCAGAGAAGAATGAGATTTTGAAAATTTTAAAGTTACAACCAAAATAAAAATATTCAGAAAAATAATTGAAAATGTTGGAAAATAACATCACCTTGGAGAAGAAAAAGATATCAAAAATAGAAAGGAAGGCTAAAAAATTAAATGGCCAATATAAGGGATCATATATCTGAATAATAAAAGTTTTTGAAAGAACAGAGAAAAAGAAGGGCGATATTATAAAAGAAGTAATAAAGAAATATTTCCTAAAACCAAAGACATGAATCCCTGCATTGATAAGACTCAGCAAGCTTCCACCACATTAAATAAAAAGGATTCATACCAAGGCAGCATTATAAACTTTCAGAATATTAAGAAATCCAAAATGTGGATGCTGAGAAAATTCTAAAAATTCAGACAGGAAAAAGTTAAGATTCAAAGGAATAAGAGGACAAAACGTCACTAGACTTCTCAAGAGCAACTCCGGATGCTAAAAATCAATTAGCAATGCCTTCAGTATGTTGAGAAAAAAAGGAGTTTCAACTTAAAATGTTATATCCGGCCAAACTCTTAACCAATGGTGAGGGCGAAATTTTTATCATATAAGAGTAAAAAATTACTGCCTGTCATGCACCTTACTACGTGACCAATGAATGCTATGCTTCAGCAAGATAAGGGAATAGAGAAAGAAAGATCTCAGCAACAAAAAAGACAGGCAAAGGGAATTTCCAAAATGTGGGCAAAAGAAGTCTCTGGGTGGCTGCTATTTGCCAGGGTGAGAAAGAAATCTGTCCAAATTAGAGCAAAAAACACAAAGAGTTATATGAAGGAAGGCTGGGGTGTAGAAAAAATAAAAGCATGGGAATGATAGGTCATCTGAGGTTTGGCAGTCTTTGAAAATATTACTGCAAGGTATTTGGCAGACTTGGTAGTACTTAGGAAAAAAAATAGCAATTGCTATATGTAACACTAAACAAATGGATAAAATGAGACAATAATTAGCTCCAGGTAAAATTAACTGTTCTTTTAAAAAAGAAGCAGAGTCCTGAACAACACGGAGGTTAGAGGTGCCATTCCCCACTCTGGCACAGTCAAAAACCTGTGTATAGCTTTCAAATCCCCTAAAACATAACTACTAATAGCCAACTGTTGGCTGGAATCCTTATGGATAACATACATAGTTAATTAATCCACCCTGTATGTTATATATATTATATATACTATATTCTTTAACATAAGTTAGAGAAAATAAAATGTTACTAAGAAAATCATAAGGAAGAGAAAATACATTTACTATTTATTAAATGGAAGTAGACCATCATAAAAGTCAGTCTTCACCATCTTCACATTGAGGATACTGAGGAGGAGGAAGAAGAGGAGGGGTTGGTCTTGCTGTCTCAGAGGTGGAATAAAGAGAAGAAAATCCATGTATAAGCCATGTATAAGTGAACCCATGCAGTTCAAACCCATGTTGTTCAAGAGTCACCTATATAGTCATGGTATACCACTTGGCTCTGTAATTTGCGTAGTCCTAGTAATGTAAAAACTGACTATTGAGTTCACCAAAAAATATAATATGGAGAGGAGAGGAGGGATGTTAGCTCATCCAAACTCTTAACTACTGTAACATAAAATTAAATAGATTCTGTCAAAATTAATCAATCAAAACCAGGCATAGTGGCCTGTGCTTGTAATCCCAGCTACTCAGAAGCCTGAGGATCCTTGAACACAAGAGTTTAAGACCAGACTGGGCAACAGAGCAATTACTCATCTCAAAAAACAAATCAATAAAAAGCAGAATATGTGTCATATTTAGATTTATGGATGCAAACACCAGAAAACACCAGAAGCAGCAGCTAAAAATTGGGAAGTGGCTGCCTCTAGAAAGCATGACTAAAAGATAGAGAGTAATTGCTGGACACAGCTTCTTTTTTAATATAAGGGTAATATTTTATTATATGGACAAAATTTAATAATGTGCAAGGAGAAAACAAATTGATGCTTCCTCTGCTGTTTCAAATATTAGCTGCGGTCTTTTTTTGTTGTTGTTCTTTGTTTTTTTTTTTGCGTAAAATTTCTAATAGGTGCAATAACTATTTTAGGTTATCCTCAGACAATAAAGTATCCTCTGCTCATTTTTAGACCCAGCATAGTAACTGCATTGTCCACACTCAGGTCATAATAGTCGAAATCCATATTCTTTCCCAATTTAAAGCTTTTCCTGGATCCTGCCTCAGTATTGTTGTGGGCTGGGTGTGCTGATGGGAGAGAATGAAAGCCTTCTTCTCTATTTAGTGCGTTTTCTTTTCCCTAACCTCCTGATTTCTTTTCTGTGGTGAGGGCACTTTTGTGAGTTTCTCCAGGATACTTTGTCTTTTGTTTTTTTCCGAGACGAAATCTTGCTGTTGTCGGCCCGGGCTGGAGTGCAATGGCACGATCTCAGCTCACTGCAACCTCCGCTTCCGGAGTTTCAGCAATTCTTCTTCAGCCACCTAAGTAGCTGAGATTACAGGCGCCCGCCACCACGCCTGGCTAATTTTTTTTCTTTTTTTTTTTTTTTTTTCTGAGACGGAGTTTCACTCTTGTTGCCCAGGCTGGAGTGCAATGGTGCGATCTCAGCTCACCGCAACCTCTGCCTCCTGGGTTCAAGCGATTCTCCTGCCTCAGCCTCCGAGCAGCTGGGATTACAGGCATGAGCCATCACACCGGGCTAATTTTGTATTTTTAGTAGAGACGGGGTTTCTTCATGTTGGCCAAGCTGGTCTCAAACTGCTAACCTCAGGTGATCCACCCCCTCTGGGCCTCTCAAAGTGCTGGAATTACAGGCGTGAGCCACCACTCCTGGCCCAGGATACTTTTTCTAAGGTTCCCATCACTGAAGCTTGTTTGCTGTGGACAATAATGGCTCGCCATTGGTTACCTGTCCTCCTAGCATGGTAACCTCGGGCTCTAAATTCAATGATAACACTTTCAGCCTATAAGATATACTATTTTAAGTTGTCTCCAGACCATGAACATCTTATGGGTCAATGGGGCTCATGGGAGAAAGTCTCATATCCCTGCCAGGCAAAGTAGCTTCCTTACAAGGCAGCCTCCTACTTTTGCTCTGCTCCAGGCAGGCAACTCCACCCGCTAATTTTCACCTTTAGCCTTTCCAGATGTGAGTTGCTTATTAGTTCTCATGTTCCTTTAAAATCTAAGAGTTGTGTACAAGTTATCATAGTGATCCTCTAAGACTCCTCTCATGTATCTTGAGATGTGAGGGAGTCATTCCTTTCCCTCCACTTTATAGTAGTGAAAACCACATAGCATGTGACAACACTTTCCAGGAATCTTCTCTTCCACTGCCTCCCATCATATTGCTGAATGTGGGTGATTATGAAGGCTGGAAGAATGTTTCACAATTGCTGAGTCTATATAACGTAGGTCTACAACAGACCAGCTTCAGAATGCAGGGGTATTTGGCAGCTATTTTTTTGCTCCTGGCCTTTAGGCATCAGCTAAAACTAAAAAAGAAGTCTCTATTTATTATCCCATTGCATTAGATTTTTAGCATTTTTTGAACTATGTACTTTTTTTATTTGGATAAGAAATAAAGTGTTTTTTTTAAGTGAAAGCATAATAAGATGCCACAATGTGAACTAAATAATTTTTAACTGACTTTTTTTTTGTCGGGTTTCTTGGTAAACGAAAATTTGGAAACGTGTCATCGTAAAGCAGCAAGCTTCAGGTACGAATCATGGATCTGACATGCAAAAGTCACAAACTCAAATGCCCACAACAACCAGACATATAATGTACGTGCATGAAGTAGTGTAACTGTGCTGTAATAAGAAATGTATTTGGTCTTTGTCCCCAGTTCCTGGCACAGAGCTACTAAAAACCGTTAGAATTTCTTAAGTGATAGGAGTGTCTTTTCTTATTCATAACAAGGTACTGAGTTCAGATCACACATGATTTTATGCCAAGAAGGTGACTTAAGGTGTAGCCCCAAGATAACCTCAGGATTGGGGCTGGTCACCAGAAAAACCAGGTGATTAGAAGGTTGAAACTTACAGTACCACATGAGCTCTGGGGAGGTGAGAGGGTCTAGAGATTGAGACTTATAAAAACTTTTAAACAAGGAGATTTGGACAGCTTCTAGGCTGGGGAACACATAGACACCGTGAGGTTGGTGAGCTCAGAGAGGTCATGGAAGCCCTACACACCATGCCCCATTCCTTGAACTATGCATCTATATTTTCTGGCTATTCTTGAGTTGGATCCTTTGTAATAAACTGGTAATGTTAGCACTAGGGAATGTATCTGAGTCATGTAGCACTAAAGTATGTTAGTGGCAGTGAATCTGTATGGGTCTGCAGCAACCTCAAATGCTTGCCTCCTCAGAAGAAAGAATTTGACTGAGGAGCACATGGCAGAGTGAGAGACCAAGGCAAGCTTTAGAGCAGGAATGAAAGTTTATTAAAATGCTTTAGAGCAGGAACAAAAAGAAGTAAAGTACACTTGGAAGAGGTCCTAGCAGGCGACTTGAGAGATCAAATGCGTGGCTTGACCTTTGACTTGGGGTTAGCATGCTTCTGAGGTTGCATTACTTCTCACCTGATTCTTCCCTTGAGGTGGGCTGTCTGGATGCACAGTTGCCTGCCAGCACTTGGGAGGTGAGCATGTGCAATGTGTTTACCAAAAATCATGCATATGCTCACTTGAGGCGTTCTTTCTTTACTGGTCAAATGTTCTTAGGGGAAGGTCATATACCAGTTAAACTCTGCTATTTTTGAGGGCTGCATGCTTGAGCCCACTTACCCAACCCTTGAGATTTTATCAGGAAGCTGCTGATCACCAACTTTAGGTGTTTCTGTCTATTGGGAGACCCTGTTTCCCTTGAATCAGCTGCAGCCAATTATTATTTTAGAGAGGCAGTTTAACAACTGCCTGCCCATCACCTGATGGTTGCCTGGCATTCCTGAGGGCTAGGGGCTCTCCTGTCCTGTTTATGTCTGACTAACTACCTACTGTAACAATAAATGTAAATAAAGTGTTTCCCTGAGTTCCATGAGCCATTCTAGCAAATTGCTAAATCTCAGGAAGGGGTCATGGAAACCTCCAATTTATAGCCAGTGGTTGAGAACTACAGGTGGCCTGGGACTTGTGACTGGCATCTGAAATGAGGGCAGCCTTGTGGAACTGAACCTGCAAATCTATGGAATCTAATGCTAATTCCAAGTGGTTGTTGTCAAAATTGAATTGAATGATTGGACACCTAGCTGGAGTAAGATAATTGGTGTCAGAAAACACCCCAGAGTAACCTTAACAAAAACTACAGTGCAAGTATACTGAGAGGAAGCAACCAGTGTCAGAAAGATGGGAGTGAGTAGTGAGGATTTTAAGAGTCCACATAATCTAAAGCAGGCAGCTACCACTCAGTTTCAGCTAACTATGCAATGATTTTAAATATTCCAGTTTCAAAGAGGAACTCTTAAAAATAAAAATGACAGCTACTTGAAAAAAATCAAAAACATTTTTAAAATAAACTTGTCTGTCAGCCAGATCTAGCATATGGACAACCTCTGGACTATGGGTTTCTTTGCACAATGTCTGCAGTGTATCAATGCTGTTAAATAGGTAAATTATTTCCCCCGATACTGTGCAACTTTCTCTGAGACAATTAGTTCTAGATTATGGAACCAACAAAACCAAGGTCAATAACTCAGTCCATTCAATCATTTAACAAATACTTATTGAGCACTTATTATGTATAAAGTACTATACAATACAAAGAAATAAGACAATGCAAAGGTCTACGATTATAAAACCTTCCTTTGTGTAAACATTAGGGTCAGAATCTTCAATCAAGTAGTTAATCTGTCATAGATCAAGTGTATCAAAAATAAAGACTTTAAAGAAATGAAAAATCCTTTAAGGAGAAATAACTGATGAAAATTAATTTATAAGCTTAACCTAAGTATAGTACAAAAAGACAGTAGATTCTTATAGAGAAAAGATTAACCATGCTGTTGGTGACAATATCTTTTATTACAATTCTTTAATGCTATTGGAATTGGGCACACACAGCGACAACTTCTCCTTTAATAAGCAGTGGCATTAAGAATTTCTTGTATATCTTTTAAAAACCTATCCATCTCAGACCCTCAATTGCAAGAGGCAAGACGATATCTTGAAATGAAACTGCCTCTGTAGCTGGGAACCAACAACATGTTTACTTGATCTAATCAGAGTACCAATTTTAAGTCCTTTGCTTTTCCTGTGTTTCTAGGGCTATGAAGAAAAAGTAAATATGAATCCCTTCAGTTCATATACACACACACACACACACTTAAAAGACAGTTGTATCCTTCATATTTTTTATTGTTGTATCTTTCCATATTTTACTTTTTCATTTGTAACCGTTTTTAAAAATATAACTAGTATAGGCTGGGTGCGGTGGCTCACACCTGTAATCCCAGCACTTTGGGAGGCCAAGGCGGGCAGACCATGAGGTCAGGAGATCGAGACCATCCTGGCTAACACAGTGAAACCCTGTCTCTACTAAAAAATACAAAAAAACAATTAGCCCGGCATGGTGGCGGGCGCCTGCAGTCCCAGCTACTCAGGAGGCTGAAGTAAGAGAATGGCGTGAACCCGGGAGGCAGAGCTTGCAGTGAGCCGAGATCATGCCACTGCCCTCCAGCCCGGGCAACAGAGCAAGACTCCATCCAAAAAAAAAAAAAAAAAAAAAAAAAAAAAAAAAATATATATATATATATATATATATATGTATATGTATATATATATATATATGTATATGTATATGTATATGTATCTCTAGTATAAACATTAGGATGTTATTTGTAGATATTCAACACACATCTTCAATTTATAATGGAGTCTTTTTTGAGTTTATTATCTCAATAATGTAAATAAATATAATCATCAGAACTCCAGTAAACAGCAAAGTCATGGCTTATATATCTGGTTTACATTCTCTTTTTCTCCAGCTATTCAATTTCCCTTAATTAGTGCCTAACCCATTGTGTCAGATGCTCTCAGTGCTCTGATCAAATATTCAGACACCTTTACCTATTTTCCATGTATCACCTGCTGGTGTGCTATTCCTCCCAAGAGCTGGAAGTTATCACCCATGTATCTTTGCTGTGACTGCTGGCTACTTTATCTGCACACAAGGAAGGCCAGAAGTACCCCCCGTTCCCCACTCCCCAATCTCAGTAGGCAGCCCTTAACCAATGACAGATGTGTACAGGAGTTCAGAAGCTCCTGCACCCTTGCCCCTGTCAACCTTAATAACAAACAGAGACTTGGTCTCTAATAGAAAATGATGTTTATTTAAGAATAGGGCATTGCAGTGGGAATACACATGCCATAATAAGCTATGTGCATATTCAGAGAAATAGGGAAGACAAAGGTTTTCAAAGGAAAAATTAGGAGGATACTTGTTTTGAAATAATGATCCTTGGCTACAAGAATCAATAAAAAGATGGCATCAGTTCAATATTGGACTGGCAGCTGCTGGGCAGATGTCTCCATGGAAGTATTTTGTGTGTGTGTGTAAATAATATGGTTTGGCTCTGTGTCCCCACCCAAATCTCATCTCCAATCATAATCCCACATGTTAAGGGAAGGACCTGTAATCTCCATGTGTTGAAGGAAGGAGGTAATTGGATCATGGGGGCGGTTTCCCCCATGATGTTTTTGTGATAGTGAATGAGTTCTCACGAGATCTAATGGTTTTATAAGCATTTGGCATTTCCCCTGCTGGCACTTCTCTGTCCTGCTGCCATGTGAAGAAGGTCCTTGCTTCCCCTTTGCCTTCTGCTGTGATTGTAAGTTTCCTGGGGAGGAACAGTGAATCAGTTAAACCTCTTTCCTTTATACATTACCCAGTCTCAGGTAGTATCTTTATAGCAGTGTGAAAATTGATTAATGCAGTGAGGTTATGATAGCCTTTGTGTGAGATTGTGGGTTTTGCAGATTCTTTTGTGATAGTTCTTGTTATCAAGCAAATGTGCAGGAGAACCCTCCCTTGCTCTGACTCTATTTGTCAGTGTTTTGTTGTTGTTGTTTGTTTGTCTTAAATACAAGTGATTTCATTTTGATTTTGACAAGTTTCAAATTTCTCCCTTTTGATCAAGATCTTTTTCCAAAAGCATCGCTGATCAATCATCCTGTAGTTAGGTTTTGATGTCCCTCAATGCCAGGATGCACCTGTCCTGGGTTGCTGATTTGTTTCTGTGTTGGAGGGAGTGGCTGGTGATTAGGAATCATAGCAAAACACTTTCAGCCACATTTGAGCAACAAAGGGAGGGTTGAAGGGAGTGGCTCTCAGGCTAAGTCTACCTGAAGTCCATTGTTAAGTTCAGTTGTGTCTGTTCCGTAGGCTTTTGCTATCATCTCAAAGTGCAGGACCAGCATTATTCTGTTAGGAGTTGTATTTGTGCAGAACTTTAACAAGTAATAGATGCAAATTTGAAAAAGGGAAAATGCAAAGCAAAATTAATATTACTATGGTAACCCCAGTTTGTGTAATGGTTTTGAGTTATGAATCTAAACTTAAAAGCAACCAACTGAATAAATAAAATGACCGTGGGGAATTAGGTGAGACCTGTTGTAACCATGTGAGTTGTTTTGTTATTTTGTGTGTATAAGTGTCTCAACTTCCTCAGAGGAATTTATCTAGGCACAGCAGGTAGTACTGGCGATAGCACAGACATTTCCTTATTTAACCATTAGATACTAAAGGATCTCTTTGGTCAGGTTCTGTCAAGTTGTTAGCAGAAGCTACTGATTCACAAGTTTTAAGCATGCTACTGTTCTGCCAAGTGAAAAAGATAGCATTAAGAGGAGTAAGAGTCTCATGTTATGGAGGTTTGTTCCAACATCTTGGGAAATGCTACCTACAGAGTAAAACTGTCAACTTCCTGTCCTGGTTTGTAGTTTGAATGTGTCTGATTTGGGGACTGGGCAGCTTAGTGAACTTTCCTTGTGACTCATACCTCAGGCAGTGAGACTGGTTTCTTAAAATTCATCTAGTTTTAGCTTATAGGGCTTCAGGAAGAGAACAACTCCCATTTTTAGTAATTCTATAGAAGAAAGTTGGATTGGAGGGAACTAGAAAAATCCAAGATCTAGTCTAGTCTGTAGGTAGATAACAAGAACTTGAAACAATGCAAAAAGCTACAATCTAATAGCAGGTGTATCATAGCTATTCTTTAGAAACATACCATTTTCTCTCTACATTGATCACATAGAAATCTTAGATCTAAAAGTCTCTTGAGGCTAGAAAGCCAAACCAAAGCAGTCTTAAGTTTCTTGGGCCTGCCAGGAAGTGACAGTTTCTATTCATTCGCTGTAAGGCTGGGAACCCTTGAAGCCAGGCATTCTTTGCACATTCTCAAATATGACATTCCAGTCAAAACCTAGGTAATATAACCAATGTTTCTAGTTGTATCCTGTTATAAAGAGAGAGAAGATTTTCATTGAAAATATATAAACAATTATATTGTCATAAAAAATAAGACTACTCAAGAATAATGCTTAAATTTTGAAGGGACCAAGCAGGGTAAAAAGGCAAATACTTCCACCTTTCTTCACAAAAATATACTTTACCAAATTGCTGTAAACTGTAGATAGCATAAGAGTGAATATTTTCTTAATTCTGAAAACATGTCTGTAAAGAACAAATGTTGTTTCAAATAAAAGTTATCAAAACATTATCTTTATCAGTTACTTAAGCTCATGTGATTAATTTTTACTTTGTCTTATCTTTATTAAGTTTTATAAACCGATCAGTTATAGTGAGGAATTTTTTTAATCCTGGAAAATTTTCATTTTATTTATTGACCTTAAAGTTATTAGAAACCTGCATTTAAAGTATTTGTTGGAGTTTTTTCCATGAATCTGATTACGAATGCTTTTAAAGGAAAATCAACACAGTAATGATAGATGACAGACTTTGAATAACCATGGTTAAAATTATGAAGAAAGTTTATCATAACCAGAAATTGTAGTTACTTTAGTGGCATACAACATAATAATCAGAATTATGACTGATGACATATTAGATTTCGAAGAGTTTACACAATTTTAGAACATTGATATCAATCACATACCCATAAACGTAACTGATAGATCTTGTATCACTCATCATTTGGCAATGCCTCCCATACAATTTACCAAAAAAGTATAATCATATAACGTCTCTGCAAGATGAAAACCACATTCTTTGAGACTCTCCAGAGGTCCAATTGGAACACCCCAAAGTTAATTTTAGACCAAAAACTTAATTTAGGATTTTGATCCTAGGGAAATCTGCCAAAGATGTAAAAACTTTCACATTCAAAATACTTGATCAAAACAAAATCACAGGTCATTGTTAAATATCAGTTATTCATTTAACCAGAGTGATATTCAAAGAAGTCAAACGCAATACAGAAAGTTACATGGGTATGAAAACCTTAACCATCTTAAAGCAGAGTATTCTCAAGTAAACTAAAACCTAATAAAGACAATGCAGAAATTATCTTGATAAAACGTAAACTCTGATTTTTCAGGCCACTTACCAAAAAGATAAAAACTTCATGCAGCCTGACTGCTTCTCCTTATTGGAAGCATACTTAGGTATCCTGGAAGTTGAACTTGATGAATTTAATCAGACACAGGAAGAGTGTTTACAAGGTTCTGAATGTACGCCATATCCTAGAGGAAGGCAAACAAGAAAACCAGTACATTGATCAGGGGAATACATGGCTCTTAGAGAAAGTAAAAGTGTGTGAAATACCTGGTTACATAGAACAATTCAGGCATATCAAGAAAAGTCAAGAGTACAGAATCTAATTATACTGGAAGAAAACTCTGCTTTTCTAGGCCTTTAATATAACATCAGAGTTAAAATCAGAGAAAACAGTTACAAGAGCTGATGCAAATTTTGAAGGAGAGCATTGTCATCCCAGACAAGCAAAAAGATACGCATTTTCAAAAAGAAAGAGATGAGAGAGAGCTGAAGGCAATCTTGTCAACAACAAAAACAGCAATACCTGACTCATTCACTATTAACTGTGCATCCAACACTCTTGTAAGCTCTTTATATATTCAACTTATTTCATTCTCACAATAATAATATGGTTCCCATTTTACAGATGGAACTGAGGCACAGAAAGATTAAGTAACTGGACCATAACTGAAGCCAGACAGTCTCATGCTAGAGCCCATAATTCTAACTGCTATGCCAGCGGAAAACTTTATTTATTTATTTATTTATTTATTATTTGTTTTCTTTTAATTTCAGGAGAATTACTGTTGGAAGTTAGTATTTGTCCTGTCTCTGATTCCTAATCTGGTGTAAAAGATCTAAGCAAGATCTAAGCAAGACTACTAAATCTAACAATTTTTAATATTTTAATATGAGCCTTGTATCATTGACTGAATTGATTTCACCATGTAAAGCAGCCACGTTACAAAAACCCAATTTTCAAACACATCATTATTGTCCGAATAGATACAACTTGATCTAGTCAAATATAGCATAATTAAATCTCAGTGGTAATGGATATTTTAAACACTTCAATTTAAAATAAACATTTTATTTTGCTAAATTTCATGACTAGGCTAAAGTCATGTTATATTTCGATGTGTTGAAAAGAATCATAGCATATTTGAAAAGGTGCTAAAGCTGGCATTTTAGTTTTGGTTTTATGCTTTGAATTTTTTTCATCTTTCAAATAAGGAAGAAGAACTAGATTGTTTCTAATTTTGCTTCTAGCTCTTACATTCATAAATAGAAAACTGATAAAATTTCTCAAAAACATATTTCTTACAGTTCAAATCTATATGTACTTAAACACGGTTATATTAAAAAGCCCCAAAGCATCTGAATTTATACACTAAAACATTTTCATATATATTATATATGTGTGTATACAAACACACACACGTCAATACATACACACATACACACATAAACACATACACACATACCATTTTAGAACATGTATTAAAATATTACTTAAGCAAATAGCCTTTTCTCTCTCAGACAAATAACTACAGGCTAAATTTTCACAGACAAATTTGGAGTACGTCTGTTAAGTACATTGTTTCATTGGCATTCTAAAAACTAATATAAGACATTGGTATGGTTTTAAGTGTCAATTATGGTTTCTCTCTTTGAGTCAAATCAATGTGAAATAGAAAGTAAGTTTAACTACTTGACATAGAGCACAAAAACACCGACATTAATTTTTCTTTTTCTCCTATATAGTTCTAGTAAAAGCAGTTACTTATCAAGTATTCACTTTGACCCAAGAGCTTTGGCCACACATCGGCTCTCAGCACACAAAACAGCTCTCAGCAAAGCTAAAACAGACACAGCAGACAAAATAATGTCAGAAATTCTAGCTTTTCTCTGATATGGATTTGATATTTTATAATACGCATTGAGGGTAATGAGTTAAACTTTCAGTACATAGAATAGCACTCAGGTTGTCTAGAAAGTCACACTAAAACTTGGAAACAGCCTTATGAAATAGAGAACTATGTATTTGGAATTAATGTCTTGCATAATCATCCTGGTTGTATCTGTGACCTGTGGGTATTTTATCTAATCTTTGGCTTCTTTATCTATAAAGAGAGGATGAAGATGATACTTACCAAACAGGGTTGTTACTATAAATTCTCTACTAAGCTAAAAATATATGGTTTTCTTAGTAAATGAGTACAGTAAATGAATTCAGATTCTCTCCTAAGCACTAAATCTGTACGTCAGCTGTCCAACGATGAAACCAAAAATACTGTTAGTTGAGCACTTATGATGTGTCAAGATTTTTAAAAATGAAAAGACTATCTACATTATTGGTAGAATAAGTTGTCATGGAAAAGTCTTCTGCTTAAATATATAGACTACTTGATGAAATGTGGAAATGTAAAGATGCATAACTTAAAATAGAAAAGATGAAAAGCCTCAGATAACAGAAGAGAAGTAATGAAATGCCATTTCAGTAAGAGCATGGATTGATTGCGTGAGAATTTGGGGAAGCCTTACACCACATATAATCCCTAAATATTAGGGTTTGTGATTCTAACAAACAGCAGGAAGCAAGAGATGAGGCCTTGGCTCACAACAAGGTAAGGATCTAAAAGTTAGATATTTGTGCTAAGGTGACACCCTGGAAGAGCTCATCCCCGCACTAAAATGAAAAAAATTAAAGCTCCTATCTCACCCTGGATTTGACATGGTTTGGGAGCTCATACTGACACTATTTATATGGAATAGAAATTTCAAAGTTTGAAGTATAAAAGTTGGCCCAAGACCAGTAAAATTCTGGTATTCTAACTATGGAATTCCAAGAAAAAGCAAAACTTTGCATTAAGGAAAGTTTTACAACCCAGGACACATGGGATTCCCCCAGGGATGGAAAATACAAACCAACAAACAAACAAAACAAACAAGCAAATAAAAACCTCCATAGAAAATGACCATGGGGGAAAAAAAACTGATAAGCCACTACCAACTAAAGAAATAATTCATCAAGAGGGAAAGTTAGAAGAAAATAGAAACAAAAGAATTAGCAGCTCAAGAAATTGACATTAAGTCTGCAATAACCAAACATTCCTGTTTAACAACAAAACAACAGTAGCTAACATTAATCTTGTGCTTACTATGAGTCATGCACTGTTCTACCTGCTTTATATGCATTGTTATTGTATTTTTACAATTACATGTACAACACGAAGACAACTTAAAAGACAGGTCATCTATAAAGACAATATTTAAATGAATAGCAACAATAGTAAAAGTCTTACAGACTGAAAAATATTGGAATATCTTCTTTAAAATGCTACAGAAAAATAACTTATCAATCTAAAATTCTATAATCAAATCAATTATAAACTAAGAGTGAAGAAACAAGCGTATTTTAGACAAAGCCTAAAAGAGTTTGCCATACATAAACCCTGTTTCCAATAGCCACTAAGGTCTATATTTTAATAAGGAGAAATTCAAATCCAGAAGAAAAGAATGTTACGTAAAGAATAATGATAAGCCTAGTAATTGGTATTGGCAAATCTAATAAGCATTGAATATATAAAATCATAATGATGACGATGACTAATTTGCAGATATAAAGTCACGTTGGGACTAAAATACTGGACATCACCATGTAAGATGAGAGGCGAATGTAAATGTTCTAAAATCTTCATAGTTTTCTGGAGGAAGTTTAATGGATTAAGGATAAATTTTATTAAGTCAAGTATTTAACAAAGGAGTAAACATGAAAATGCATAAACCTCCAATCAATAGAGGAGAAGAAAATAAAATGGTTATGAACACATTAGAAAGTAAGAAGGGAGTAAAAAAAGCTAAAAGTATTGTAAAAAGAAAACATGAATAAGATGTTAAATATAAGTCAAAATAATCAGGAATGACAATAAAAATAAACATAACTAATTTAGTCATTGAAAAACAGACCACTACACAATCTATGCATGTAACGAAATTGTACTTGTAGCCTATAAATTTATATACATAATTTTTAAGAAAGTTTCAGATCATATCTGAATATTAAAGTCCAGCTATTTAATAAGACATTCACCACTATTTCAGACACACATTGAACATATAAAGATAGACAATTTTTAAAAAAGGGATAGAATATTGTATGCCAGCCAAATACTAACTAAAAGATGCTGTGGTTCCATTAATATCAGCTCAAACTGACCAAATAGCAAAAATATTATTTGGGATGGCAAAGGCAAAATTACAACAAATTTAGTTATAGATCTAATTGGCTTTTATTTGTGATTCATGACTCAGGGGCAGCCTCCATTCTATAAAATAGAATGAGTGCTCCACTGAACAATGTCAGAACAACGAGTTTTGTGAAGTGGGAGCAAGGAAACAGAACAATAGGTAAAAAACAGATTGGTTAACATCAGGGTGCTTCAGGTTACTTTTCTGTAGGAATTAAGGCAGAGGAGACTTTCTTATTACCCTGACTCAAGTAGACTAGAATCTCCTATTTTCAGGAAAAAAAAAAAAAAAAAAAAAAAAAACTGGTCTGTTTGGTAATCTGTTTGCTTCCTTAAAACTTCAATTGATTCTGTGGCATTAACATGAGTGACTCCATTGTTTGGTCTGGTCTGCTGGGGCTAGGCCAGGGCATCTGTCCAAAGCAAGAACCTCCTTTAATTTCATATAATAGGACAAACAAGTATAGCACTCATCATGAAGAAACTATAATTCTAAATACACACACACTGAGTAACAAATCCCTCAAATACATAAAGCAAAATTGACAAGATTACAAAAATAATCACAAGTAACCACGATTATAGAAAATTTTTAATTGATGGATTGTGCAAACATTAGTGAGAAAATGGAATATTTAAACTACATAATTATTAAATAAAACATTGAACTCATCAATTAGAGAATCCGTTTTCTTCTCAAGCACATGGCACGTATAGAACATGCTCAAAATTTGATCACTGTCGTAGTTCATTTTGCTTAGCTATAAAGGAATACCTGAGCCTCTGGGTAACATATAAAGAAAAGAGGTTCATTTGGCTCAAAATTCTGCAGGCTGTATACAAGAAGCATGCCACCAGCATCTGCTTCTGATTCAGCTCATGGCAAAGGGCAAAGGGGAGCTGGCTTGTGCAGAGACCACATGGCAAGAGAGTAAGCAAGAGAGCATAAGGTGCCACATTCTTTTCAACAACCAGCTCTCTCAGGAATGTATAGAACCAGAACTCACCCCTCTCGAACCCCTCATCCCAACCCCCTACCCCCCAGGCCATTAATCGATTCATGAGGGATCCACCTCCATGACCCAAATACCTCCAATTAGGCCCCACCTCCAGCGTTAAGGGTCAAATTTCAGTAGGTGATTTGGAGGAAATAAACTTCCACACTGCAGCAATTATCTACTAAACTACAAAGAAAATCTCAACAAAGTAAAATACAAATTACAAATTCAATAATCCATAAAACATTCTTACACTCAATAACACTCCCTAATCACTACATGATTTAAAAAAGAACTATAATTCCAAATATCATATTGGAACATCTCAATGAAGAAATATGAATGCAAACTGCACAATGTTAAGAATATGACAATAAAGACACTAAAAATACAAACTTTTGAGATGTCGCAGAGAAATCAATGGCATTAAAATGTAAAAAGATTAAAAAGTAATAAGTTAAAAATTATGTAAGAACAAAGTAAATCAAAAAATCAAAATAGTGAGAGAGACCGGGCACTGTAGATGGCGCCTGTAATCCTATTACTTTCAGAGGCTAAGGTAGGTGGATAGCTTGAGCCCAGGAGTTGGAGACCAGCCTGGGTAACATGGTGAAGCCCCATCTCCGAAAAAAAATTCAAAAATTTGCCAGGCATGCTGGTGGCCGCCTGTATTCCTAACTACTCAAGAGGCTGAGGTGGGAGGATCACCTGCCTGAGCCCAGGAGGTTGAGGCTGAGGTGAGCCATGATTGTACCACTGCGCTCCAGCCTGGGTGATAGAGTGAAACCCTGTCTCAAAAAATAAATTAATAAGTAATAAAATAAAAAAAAGAAATAGTGAGAGGAAGGTAATAATGAAGATATACATAAAAAGTATTGAAATATAACACAAAATGACAGAATCAATAAAAGTAAAAGCTTTTAATTGTGATGTTAGGGTGTCAATTTTAGATCTTTCCTGCTTTCTCTTGTGGGCATTTAGTGCTACAAATTTCCCTCTACATACTGCTTTAAATATGTCCCAGAGATTCTGGTATGTTGTGTCTTTGTTCTCGTTGGTTTCAAAGAACATCTTTATTTCTGCCTTCATTTCATTATGTACCCAGTAGTCATTCAGGATGAGGTTGTTCAGTTTCAGGTATATACTCAAAGGATTATAAATCATGCTGCTATAAAGACACATGCACACATATGTTTATTACGGCACTATTCACAATAGCAAAGACCTGGAACCAACCCAAATGTCCAACAATGATAGACTGGATTAAGAAAATGTGGCACATATACACCATGGAATACTATGCAGCCATAAAAAAGGATGAGTTTATGTCCTTTGTAGGGACATGGATGAAGCTGGAAACCATCATTCTCAGCAAACTATCGCAAGGACAAAAAACCAAACATCTCATGTTCTCACTCATAGGTGGGAATTGAACAATGAGAACACTTGGACACAGGAAGGCAGTCATCAAACACCGGGGCCTGTTGTGGGGTGGGGTGAGGGGGGAGGGATAGCATTAGGAGATATACCTAATATAAATGACGAGTTAATGGGTGCAGCACACCAACATGGCACATGTATACATATGTAACAAACCTGCATGTTGTGCACATGTACCCTAGAACTTAAAGTATAATAATAAAAAAAAAAAGACAGTGTGGGGCAAAAGTCAAATATGAACCAGCCCTATGGCTTTTGTCAGTTAAAAAAAAAAAAAAGTTAAAGCTAAATCTAGAAATACCAATGAAATGTGGAAGTTTATTTAAAAGCTAGGGTTGGGGAAAGAGGGAAAAGTGAGAGACAATTATTAATATTTAAAATGAAAGAATCCAGAAATACAAATCTGATACACAGTATAAAATATTAATACTATAAAAACAAATAACAGCAAAAAGCCTCCTTTCTAGAAAGTTCCTTCCCCAAATACCTACATTGCTTTTTCTTTGCCTACATTTAGTCTGTATTCAAATATGGAAAAAACAGTAACATATTATTACTGAGTGATATGACAGCGTATAAAACCAGTCAAATCTACAAACCCTTAGAATTAATAACTAATTGAACTAATAGCTATTTACTAGTCAGAAGTTTCTGGATATAAGTTCAATATCTAAAAATCAATAATAATTCCCATCTAATATCAATATCAGTTAGAAAATACAAGTTTTAAAGAAATGGTTATATTTACAATATGAAAATAATTTGTAACTAAACATAAATCTTAATGGTCAGAAAGATCATGAACTCATGAAAGAATATTTTATTATATCTAGCAATCTAACATATTCATCAGTTGTAAACCCATGCTTGCTAAAAGACAAATTTTCCCTAAATTGAATCTGTACATTCAATGCTATTCCAATCAAAATTTTATCAGGGTTTTTCAGTAATTTTTGAAAAGCTTAATCAAAAATTTGTGTTTTGGTTAACGGATGAACCAGAATAGCCAGGAATATTTTGAAGTATAATGAAGGGGAACTTGTCCTATCAGATACTAGAACTTACTATATTTATTTTATTATAGACTCATTTGATATAGTGTCACTTGTAACAGTGAAACAGAAATGGTTCCACAAGTACAGGGGAAATTGATTTATAACAAATTTTGGAAATTAGTAGAAGAAAGACCAAATAGTTAATATATGGCATTGGGAAAATCAGCTATCATATGACATAACAATGAATTATTGCTATTTTCTTCTCATTTCCAGGAAAACTCACCCAAAGAAACTTCAATGTTTTTATCATCCAGTATTCCTTTAACTTGAAGTTTTGTTTGTTTGTTTGTTTGTTTTTTGGGTTTTGTTTTTTTTTTTTTGCCTGCCAGTATACCAGGCTCTTGATCTTTCCATTTTATTTGTTTCTTTCTGATCTCAAGCTCTTCCCTAGATTTCTTGGTTGATTACATGAACCACTCTCTCATCAACACCCTCAGATTCTTCAAATTCATGGGGTTTTTTTGTTTGTTTTTTGTTTTTGTTTTTGTTTTTTTATATTCCATATGGAAAAATCCCAACCTTGGATCAATTTCACAGTTGGCCTTTTCTGATCCAGAACACTGACTGCATGGTAAAAATTACACAGTCATGCACACTGGTGCCATGTAGATTCAAATTCATGGATTTCAGTCTCAGCACTCGATCACTGTTTATATTTAACCAGAACTTTGGTTATCTCCTCTATAGGACTTTTTGGACCTTCACTATTTTTTCAGTTTTCTTCAAATCTCCTATTCTAATTACTCTCAGCAAATATCTTTCCTTCCTTCTTTAACAAAAATTTAAGGCTGTTTGGCCTGAAATACCTCGTCTCCTCTGCTGTCCACTTAGAAACATTTGACATTTTTGCGCATGCACACTTCTTTCTTCCTACCTGCCTCAGGAGCAGAGGTGGCTCTCATCCTATTCTTGATGTAGCCTTCCTTTTGTAATCTTGATCTGACCCAACTTCATGGCCTTTGGGACCTTGCTCTATTCTCCTTTCTCTATATCTTCAATAGCTTACTCTGAGTAACTCATTTCCCTCCATGTAAACATCTTCATGTCTCACCCATCAAAAGCAAATATTTCCCATCGAGGGTCTCCCCTCTAGCCACTGCCCCATTTTACTCCTTCCTCAACCAAGCTCCTTGGAAAAAAAACTGTGACACTCACTGCTCCCATTTTCTTACCTCCCACTCTTCAATCTCCTAAAACAAGCAAACAACAAACAAAAATGTCTTAACATCCCCAGGAAGTTCATGGATCATTTAGCAGTGCATCCCAATGCACTCATCTTTCTAAACTTTTCACTTGTATTTTACTTGTGGTTCATTTGTTCCTTTTTAAAACTCTACATTCATTCTTAGCATTTCAAGAAAATTTGTATCTTGAAATATTCTTTTTGTCAAAAGGTCTCTGTGATCAAGTTTAAGAGAAAAAAGCAATAGAACACTTTTTTGCAGATCTTTACATACATGATTATATTTAAGTGTAAACGCATACTTTTTTACTCCTCTGTCATAAAAATCATGCTCACTACAATATTTCCATTAGTCTAGCTTCAGGGAATGGAAAATGGAGGGAATATTTTCTCTGGAAGGAGTATTCTATGGATGAAAGGAAATCTGGTCAAATCCTGGGGAAGTGGAAATTTCGCCTCTTTGATTTCAGATAGATACTTGGAAGGACAAGAGATCCTGAAGAGGAGGAATTAAGCGACGGGATGTGTGTGGCCTGTTCTTTCATTTCCAGCCTAAAGTAGGGCTGTTTGCTATGTAGGTGAGGGGAAATTCAGGGGCAGAAAGGCCATTCTGTCATTGGTTTTAGTAGGGAGAACCTCCTGCAAAAGTATTCTGCATAACCAATGGCAACTATATTAATGTGTTTAAACAAAGTCAAGTCAGTGGCATCATGTGTTTGGACAGAGGCTAACAAGAGTTACCCGTCCAGTGTCAATTCCAGCTTGCCCTGTGGGTTTAGCAGGTGGCCAGAAGTTCCAAGTGGCCTTCGAGAGGCACGCAAAGCTGCTGGCTAGCAAGCTTACCCTACGAGTTGCTGTGACTGGGAAAAGTAACTCTGCAGTTGTAGATTAGGGTTCAGTTAAGGTACATCCAGACCTCAAGTGCTGGTGAGGACTAAGATAGGGTCGAGTTATCAGGGAAGACAACAGGCCCTGGCCAAACTCAGAAAAAACATCATATGCTCACCAGCTGCCAACTTGGATAGTAAATTTTAGCTGAAAGAGCAGTGACCAAGTAGACAAGAGAGTAATCGCTACAGAGTCCAAAAGGAACACCCATAGATACAGGGCTCTCTTTCTAAGACAAGAACACAGTAATCTGCTATAGAAATCCAAATGCCATTTGCGGGAAAAGCAGAAGTTTGCAGAACTGTGAAAAACTGAGCATGTACCTATAAGAATTTAAACTAATTTAAACTAAAAATTATTACCACTAGGTAGTTTGTAAATTTAAAATGATCTTTAAAAATAAAAAGCAACTCCCTAACTACCCAGAAAAGTGAGGGTGAATTAGAAATATTAGATTTGAAAATATTTTAAAAGTTCGCATTTTACACTTTACGTGATTGTGCTGAGTGCATTTAAAATGGCACCAAGAAATTCCCCAGATATAATTACAGCAAAACTCTTTCTTTCTTTCTTTGTTTTTAGCACCCATTAGCATGCAATAGAAGAGATATTCTGAGGAACTTACTTGATTACTCTCTGCTCTACAAATTTATTTTCATGATAATTTGCTTTCACAGTTTCTGAATTACTCAGGTTTCTCCAGAGAAATAGAACCAATAGGACAGAGAGAGCCAAGGGGTGTGTGGAGAATAGATATATGCCTGGCAAGTTCACATCTGATCCGAAATGTGGGCCAGTAGGCTTGAGACCCGGGAAACCTGATGGTGCAGGTGGAATCTGAAAGCAGTTTGCTCAAGAATTTTCTCTTCCTTGGGAAGGCTGGGTTTTTTGTCGTATTCAGGCTTTCAGTTGATTGGATGAGACCCACCCACCTTACAGAGAGCAATCTGGTTACCCTAAATTCACTGGTTTAAGTGTTAATATCATCCAATAACAGTTTTGCCCTCATCTTTCTGCCTTTTCATTTGCAACTTCGTCCACAGGTTCCTTTTCCCCTGCTAACTCTCGTTTACTGAGACATCTACTCTTGGTCCCCTGCTCCTTTCTCTCCACAGTCTTTTCACTATTTCATCTAGTCTCACAATTGTAATTGCCGTTTAGACACTAACAATGTAAATCCATCATACCTATGATGTCACCTTTAAGCTTCAGGTGCATATATTTATATTCTAGCAGTACCAATTCATTTGGCATGTCATAAACACAGATTCAACAGCTTCCAAATTAAACTCTCCAAATTTCCCTTTTCCCACTCCACTCCTTATTGCTACCTGCTAACATTCCGTCTATGCCTAATTCATCCCCTAGTCCTGCTGACATAATCTCAGCATTTTAAAGTTGTAACAACTTAGCTGGGCACACAAAGCTCTGAGTGACCTAAAACCCATTTTTTTCTAACTTCATTTTTTGAAATACTGAAGTCTGTACACATGTTTTGTCTCCATACCTTATTTCAGGGTTACTCTTTGGCCTAGAGCACTATCCCATCTCCTGTTTATTCACCTGGGTAACCTCTTTTCAACTCTGGATGTCGTTGCCTGAATCTGCAGACAGAATGACGTGTTTCCCTGTCTTCCTGTGTTCTACTCATTTCCCTCTGCTTGTCTAGCAGAGCACTGACATTAGAAGGCTCAAAATTCTACTCTCAGGGCTAGAATGACTCTAGCATGTTCCTGCTCCTTGAGAGCAGAAGCATTCTACATCTTTCTAGCCTTAGCACCTATCACAATGCCAAGGAGAGAAGGCGGTTACAAAGATTTTTTTTTTAACCTTTGCATTGAATGTACAGGTTAAATTGGCTGACTTTAAAAGGTTTCTGAAGAGCAGTAGTTCTCAGACGTTAAGACCCTTGAATGTCCTTAAGGTCTTTACAAGTAATGTGAAAAGCCAAAACTATTTTCATAATAATATCAAGACATTGTTTGCTTTATTCATTACATTGAAATTTTCACTAATGGTGCAAGAGCAATGGTCAGAAAAATTGCTGGCTTTAAGGCAAGAATCAAGGTGGTGGCCCTGAGCTATACTGTTAGCCATTGCATTTTACCACACACTTTCATTTTAAAAATAAAATTACATAATAGTCATACTAATAATAATAGAATATCAGTTTCACTTAAGAATGGTTTTGATGAAAAAATAAAAATTATTAATTTTATTAAATGTCAACCTTTGAATATACTTCTTTTCAATGTATCCTGTGGGAGAAAAATGAGAAAAATGCCAAAACACTTCACTACATAACCAAACGTATTTGTATCAAGAAAAGCACTTATGTGATTGTGTAAATTGCAAGCTGAAATAATCTCTTTTCATAGAGCACCATTTTAATTTGAAAGAATGACAAATAGGCAAACTATAGCTATTCATACTTGGATATTTGGCACACATTTTCTCAAAAATGAACAAAGACAGCCTGACATCTCAAGGACAACTGACAGTATTGTTGCCAGTAATAAAATTTGAACTTTCAAGTGAAAGAGTTTTGGAAAACTTACATCTGCTTCTGTGAGCTTGACAGCTTCCCAAGACAGACTTTCCTGATGAGATCAGTGGCAATATTAATAAATATGATGTTTATTGCATAATGAAATATGTCAACATTGGAAGATCTGTATAAATGAGTAAACTAATATTTTTAAATGAACATGCATGACAGTACAAAATTATACATGAATAAAAGATTCATTCAAAATTCAAGAGAAGCCAATGGATTTTGTTGTAACAGAATACAGAAAATCCAGTGATATGGTTTGATTGTATATTGCAACTACCTCTTATAAAGTACCACATGTCAAGTTTTAGAGTACTATCAAGGAAGAACATACAAAATTATCTTAAAATATTCATTCTTTGCCCAGCATGGTGGCTCATGCTTGTATTCCCAGCACTTTGGGAGGCCGAGGTGGGCAGATCACTTGAGGTCAGGAGATTGATACCAGCCTGACCAACATGGTGAAACCCCTTTTCTACTAAATATACAAAAACTAGCGGGGCGTGGTGGTGCATACCTGTAGTCCCAGCTACTCAGGAGGCTGAGGCAGGAGAATTGCTTGAACCCGGGAGGAGGAGATTGCAGTGAGCCGAGATCGTGCCATTGCACTCCAGCCTGGGCAACAAGAGCAAAACTCCGTCTCAAAAAAAAAAAAAAACTAAAACAAAACAAACAAACAAAAAAACTCATTCTTTTTCTATTCACATATTTATGTAATGACTTTGTTTATACACTTCAACCAAAAAATATACAGCATGGATATAACAGATAAAATAACCTAGCTGTCTTCTATTAAGTTAGACATTAAAGAGATTTACAATAATATAAAGCAGTGCCCCTCTTTTTAATGAATTTTAAAATTTGAAATATATCATTATTTTTAACAAAAATATACTATTTATGTTAACATGTAACAGGCTTATTAATGTTATTTGAAATGAATTAACAATTTAAATTTGTTTCCAGTTTTAATTTCTAATATGGTAAATAAAGACAGGTATAACACATATTTTTAAATCTCTTTATGATCCTGAATGGTTTTTAAGAGTGTAAAGGGGCCTTGAGGCTGGGTGCAGTGACTCACTCCTATAATCCCAGCACTTAGGGAGGCCAAGAAGAAAGGACAGCTTGAGCCCAGAAGCCTTGGCAACATATAGAGACACTACATCTACAAAAAAAATAAAATAGAAAAATTAGCTGAGGGTAGTGACTCATGCCTGTAGTGCCAGCTACTCAGGAGGCTGAGGCAGGAGGATCACTTAAGCCCAGGAGATTGAGGCTGCAATGAGCTGTGATCATGCCACTGCACTCCAGTCTGGGTGACAGGGTGAGACCCTGTCTCAAAAAATAGAAATAAATAAATAAAGGTAATCTTGAGATCAAAATGTTTACAACCACTGCTATGGTAGTATTTACCTTAAGCTGTGAACAACTGACATAGATGTATTTTTAACAATACCACTGATTCCTAAATTGGTTACATTACTTAAATATTTATTTAAAAATATATTTAAAGTAATTTATTCTGTATGTTTTGATATTCAATTAGACCACTGGTTAGAGAGGTGTATGGACCACTGGTTAGAAAGGTGTATGCAGACCAATCTTCAAATCCTGGCTCCATGACTTAGATGCATTAGGAGTAAGGAAGGAGAGAAAAAATGGATGTCTGTTAGAGGTGATTGAGAGAGCGTATCACTGTTTCCAATTATTGTGAGAGGATTTGATTTTGCTTATGGGATAATTTGACTTTCCTGCAGTCATGACATCAGGAATGGCCATGAAATTTGCTTTACCCAATGAAATGTGAGTTGAAGTGATATATGCCAATTCATCATGAGGTTCTGACGTTTTCTTTTTCCCTCTCCCACAAAGGCCCCCAAGTCTCATACAGGGCTACTCCTTCAACCTGGGTTCCAGAAGGAAGAAGACATGGAGCAAAACTGTATGGACAATGTAATGTGAACAAGAAATAAAGCATCATTTTTGTAAGACATCATAACCTAGCAAAATTTGATAGATGTACTAGGTCACTAATAGTGTCTATCACCATAGTCACTGTTTATATAGATAATGTGATAATTACTTATTTTATGAATAATAATCCTATTATAATATCTTAATATAGTAGGCTCTTGGTGAATAAGAAATGCAATTGACTTTTTAAAAAAACTTATCCTCACCCATTCACTTCTTTCTTCCCATGAGAACCTCATTTGACTTTCATATAGTAGCCTTTTCTATGCAGGAAAAGCCTCATGATTCAGGACAAATGTCTCCATTTCTTAGCTCTGAGATAGCCCTCATTATTCTAAGAGTCCTATTCCTCCTTGTCAGAAATTGGTCAAAGAACATGCAAATGTGTTAGTCAGTTCAGGCTGCTATTGAATATAAAATGTATAGCAGACTGAGTAGCTTATAAACAACAGAAATTTATTTCCCACAGTTCAGGAGTCTAGATGTCCAAGATCAGGGTGCCAGTATGGTCAAATTCTGATGAGATCCCTTGCTAAGTTTTGAATGTCACCTCCAAAACTCATGTTGAAATTTAATTGCCATTGTAGCAGTGTTGCAAGGTGAAAGCTTCAAAAGATAGTTTAAGTCATAGAGGGCTCTGCCTTTCCTGCATGAATTGATGCTGTTATCATGGGAATGAGTTAGTTATCAAGGGAGGGGACTCCTGATAAAAGGATGAGTTTGAACTCCATTTTCTCTGTGTCTTGCATGCTCATTTACCCTTCTACTTTCCTCCAAGGTATGACCCTGGCCAGGTGCCAGCTGCATGCTTTTGGACTTTCCAACTCCAGAACCATGAACCAAATAAATCTCTTTTCTTTATTCATTACCCCAGCTGTGGTATTGGGTTACAGTACCAGAAAACAGACTAAGATAGCTATCTTCCAGGTTGCATCCTGCAGTCTCCTCAGTATATCTTTACATGATAAAAAGAGGGTGAGAGAATTCTCTAGAGTTTCCTTTATAATGGCACTAATCCCATTCATGAGGGTTCTACCCTCATGACCTAATTATCTCCCAAAGGCCCTCCTAATATTGTCACATTGGGAGTTAAAATTTTAACTTATGAATTTTTATTTTGGTGGTGGACAGGGTGGGACAAAAACATTCAGTCCATTGCAACAAGTGACCCAATTCCAGCTCCCTGAAACAAAACCTAGAAAAATGTTTGGTGGAAGATTCTAGAAAATTTTTCTTTCTTTTCACTTGATATATTTGTATATTAACAGGAGAGAACATGGATTCAATTGCTACTAGCTATAATCCAATCATCTAGGTGTCTGTAAGTAGGGATATAGAAAGAACCTGGGTTTTTAACAATACTGTTGCGATATTAGATCAACCAACCCTGAGACCTATTCTCCATTTGGACTTCATATTATTTGAGCCATTGACTTTTGTTACTGTTAAACTAATTTGAGTCATATTTTGTGATCTCTATAGCCAAAAGCATCCTAAGTGCCATAAGATATCTGTTTTTTGTTATCAAATTTCTTACAAGGTAGAATTTTATAGATTTTTGACCCTCATATGTTGCTTTTTGCCATAGGTAATAATTTGCAGGGAAACTCATGTTAATGTTATTCCACTAGACTAAATCACCCTCCCCACCAATTTGGCTGATTTATTCAGGCCCCAGGTAAGGTCTTTTAAACTTCGGGTTTACATTTTTCATAGCAATGAGAATTTATGATACTGCACTAATAGATTTGCTGCTTAACTACAATTGCTAGTGGTTTCATAAATGCATCCTTATCTTTTCACACTTTTGAGAACTGTATTTGAGAATAAAATTATACTAATCAAGTAATGCATTGATGACTATCCAAGGATGCTGTAATTTTACTCCAAAATGCACTGTTGATGTTTTGTCCATCATATTTGGTGTGTGATCAGATATTAAATAGATTAAAATATAGACTAAACACATAGTTCATGTCTTTTAAACTAGGCCCATGAAAACTACCCCATGAATCTGTAAAATTTAAGAAAATGCATAATTAAGTGTAACTTAAAATTGTTGGTTTTTTTTCAGTAATAACAAAATATCTGGCATGAGGTAGCCCAGGATTGATTCAACAGGTGAAAACTGTCAGCATGCTGAGTCAGGTTATCAGTGATTCTCTGGGCTTTTCTTCATAGTCTGAACATGACTGCCACAGTTCCACATGACTTTCTCAACTTATACAATTCAAAGTCAGAAGCAACAGAGAGCACAAGTCTTTTTTGTATTCCTCTTTCTTTTCTTTCTTTTTTTTTTTTTTTTTTTGACTGTGGCTTCCTTCTGGACCTCTTTCTTTTTTATCAGAAAGGAACTTATTCCCCTAGAAAATCAGGGCATACTACCCCTCCCATCTTATGGCAAATGCAAACCAAGCACTGACAAAGTGTTATGGGATTATTATGACTGGCTAGCCCTCTTTTCTTTGTTATATTGATAGTCAATATCTGAACAAAATTGGGACTTCATTAATAAATAAGAAGAGGGTACAGCCTGAACATAGGCAACCAAAAATATCTTCCCCTTACCTTCCCTATATGAGATGTAATTTCATCCTGTTTCTCCTAAACAACTCTACTCCCTCCAAAATTGAATCAACCACTTATCACTTTGGAAAATTAAAGTTGTTTTCACCTACTTCAGAAGACAAGTAGGTTGACAGTGCAAACCGAGAAGGATGGGAAGGACTAGTCTGCAAATCAGTGTCATTCACCTATGCATAATAGAAAAGGTGACCCAATCTGGTGTATTCAACACCTGGCAACTTAACAGATAGCACGTTTCCTAAAATAATGACATTTCAGCATAAAAAATCACAAATGACATAATCTCAAAATAAAAGGTAGTTCTCATGAAGAGTACAGCTGTAAACCTACACTGATAATGCATAGACAGACGTAGATAGGTAGGTCAATTTTTTTTGCTACATTTGAATTTCCCTCTGGACCAAGACTGGTCCTCAGATTAACAGTGTAAGTGAGCTAAGTACACATTAGAAGTAATATCTAAACAAACTGAGGCATTGGATAGCAATATTTAGAAAAAATACAAATCCCTTTGTGCAGTCAATTTCCCATCATTTTTTCTCTAAATTTCATCATCAGTCACAGATTAAAATAATCCAACTTTACTAGTCCCATCTTTCTAAGTATCTTTAATTTATTCATTTATTTAGTCTATTGGCACAAATTGAGCATGTATTGCGTGTAACCACAGTGATAGATGCTTTAGGAACATAGTGAAGTAACGCAGGGGTCCTCAACCTCTGGGCCACAGATTGTTGGCAGAACCAGGATGCACAGTAGGAGATGAGCAGCAGGCAAGTGAGTGACAATTCATCTGTATTTACAGCTGCTCCTCATCACTCTCATTACCACCTAAGCTCCTCCTCCTGTCAGATCAGAGGCCGCATTAGATTCTCGCAGGAACACAAATCCTATTGTGAACTGTGCATGCGAGGGATCTAGGTTGCATGCTCCTTATGAGAATTTAATGTGATGATCTGTCACTGTCTCCTTTACCCCCAAATGGGACCATCTAGTTGCAGGAAAAGAAGCTCAGGGCTCCCACTGATTCTACATTATGGTGAATTGTATAACTATTTCATCATATAATGCAATGTAGTAATAATAATAGAAATAAAGTTCACGATAAATGTAATGTGCTTGACATCCTGAAACCATCTCCCCCGTTGCCCTCCACCAGTCGGTGGAAAAATTGTCTTCCATAAAACTGGTCTCTGGTGCCAAAAAGGTTGGGGACCACTGATGTATAGAACCAGGTCCATTCTGTCAATACTCTCCCCATTCCCTAGTTCTGTTCATCAAGTTCCCAAGGTATTAAAATGTCTTGCTTAAAACTTATCAAATAAAATGAGAATATTTTTGTCTTATTTTTCCTTTTTAAGTTCTTTGTGTTACCTACTGTGTGCATTTCTCTCTGTTATAACAATGCCTATCTTCTTTACCACATTTGGAAGAAGTTGCCTTTAATTTTTTTTTTAACTTATAGGATTAGCTTTACAATCAGGCGTATCCTCTTGTTATTTGCTTTCATAGTGCTTTCTCCTTCATAGAATTTACTGCAAGAATAGGCGAATTATGGCTTGATGTCTATTTTTCCTGCTAGCCTACAATCTGTATTAAGGCATAGTCAGAACCAGCCAGTGCACCATCATATCCCCAGTACAAAGAGCAGTTTCTTAAACATTGTTAGAACCCAGTCGGGTTTTCTGAGGGAATAAATGAATGAATTCATAACCCAATTCAGCGTTATCTTCATTTTTCACTGTCAGTGGTTGGTTTATACCAAAGCAACAAATATCCATTGAGCAAAGGTTGAATGAGCACATGCTACGTGTCAGGTATAAAGGTTGAATGAGCACATGCTATGTGTCAGGTAATGGAGAGTTAAAGCTTAGGCTCTCAAGGAGCTTACGGTACAGTGAAACTTACTTGACTACATTTGAAAAGTTTAATCTGATTTATAAAACCAGTAAAAATGGTGCCTAGCCATTCATCCGTATCACTCTCCAGACATTATTTTTCTTTCAGTATTTTAAACAAACTTGAACATAAGGAAATTGCTTTAAATCCAAGCTATATAATCTGAACTACAAAAATAATGATCACAGTTACATGGATTTCTTTCCACTCAAATAGTGGGATTCATAAGAATTGTTAAATACTATTTTTATTTTGGAAATGTGGTATTTTTTCATATTTTTCTCCAGCTGTCTGACCCATGCTTCAAGTGCCATCTCTTATAAGAAGTCTTCAGTGATTCCTCTAGCTAAACGTAATCCTACCTACTGCATAGAATTGTTAGGAAGAGTAAAGAACAAATTTATGTGAGTGCACTTTCTGAACTGTAAATATTAAACAACCATTAGTTTATTCATTCTTTATTTCAACAAATTTTGATTTTCCACTATGTATCAGCATTCATTTTTCCAGACACTGGACATACACTAATCAAGAAAAAGACAAAAAATCTCTCATGAAGTTTACATTATAGTGAAAGAAACCAACAATTAAAAATGTAAGTAAAATGTATTATGTGTAGAGCTAAATGCTTAGGAGAATAAAACAGAAAAAAGTGATATGAGATAAGCATATGTGGTTGAAATTTATATAGGACGATTGGGAAAGGTCTCATTGAGAAAGTGATTTTTGATTAACAATCAGTAAGTAAGAAGGTGAGCTCTATGGGGATCTGGCAAAGAAGAACTCCGGGCAAAGGAAAAAGAAAATACAAAATTCTCTAAACAGGACTTGTGTTTGGAATATTGGAGGAACAGTGAGTAGGTGTGTGGCTAGAGTAAATGAGTGAGGGGTAACAAATAGAGAACGAGGTCAAGAGATCAGATACGTAGATTATATAAGGACTCAGTTATCAAATACTCCAATCAATCGGTTATTAGCAATTAGTTTTTATAATTAACAATAAATATTTCCCTACTTGAGCACTCAAAGTGCACTTTAATGGTACCTCCTTAATGGTGCTTATCATTCTCTTTCTGGCATTCATGGCTATTCTTTTCTATCAGATCATAAGATTAAATCTTACTTATCATTTTGTACCTTTCAACATTACACTGAACAAATTGCTGCCCACAAAGTTATGAGACTAAAACCCGAATCACTTAATTGACCTTTACTGGTGTTTTTATCATAGAAAAATGGCCATAAACATGGCTCACTCTCACATCAGCCAAAGAAGGATTCACTGAAATTTTACAAGTTTTATTTAGTCACCGTCCAAACACCTGATGATTGACCCTATGTAGATATGTACTTTTCTAAATTTTGTTTGAGACTATTAATGTTCTCTACAAGTTGCCTAGATGGTCCATATTCATTCAGTAAGTCAGCAAATGCAATTCAATGACTACCACATGCCAAGCATTATGAGGATACAGTGGTCAATATGATAGACATTATCTCTGTTCTCTAAAACTTACACTCCAGTGGGGAAAACATTCAATTTTGTAGTTGTAATGCTTCTGATATAAAAGTGAATGTTTTTGCTTCTAGACTAAATTAACATTTAACTATGAAAGTTAATGGTAAATAACAACTACCATTTACAGAGCTTTTATGTGCGCCAAGCATGTGTGAAATACTTTATAGGTATTGCTCTATTTAATATTCATACAATCTAGAGAAGTAGATATCATTCCTATTTTCTAAATGAAAACACTGGGGCACTGATAGTTTTAAAATTTTGTTTCTGAAATACAGACAGTGTTTTGCAGAACTGAGATTTCAACCTAAATCTGCCTAACTTCAATGTCTTATTCTTAACCTCATAGACTGTGTTTCTAACCAGTTACCTCTTTAGTGTATTATATGAAGTTTTGTATATATTAATTACTTTAGTATGGCAAAATGTCAGGAAGAAGTAGGGGTTAATTTTGGGCTTCCCGTAACAGTTTTCTCATCATGTCTGAGCACTGTAAATGTCCTAAAATATCCAAGTTATCAGATGTTACTTCATGTGATATTGAAAATTAGTGTGTGAGTGACCGTAAGGAGAGCAGTAAGAGTATAAGTAGGATTCAGGACAACTCAAAGATAGCCCAAGCATATTAATTCTTAGTGAAGGTAATACCTAATTATTCTAATTAGTTGTTATTTCGAGGATTTTTTGTATATGTCTTCACAAACACTTCATTGTTGCTTGAGCTAATTTTAAGAATGCAATTTAAGATACCATGTCATAATGAAGCAGCATCATTGTCTGGGGTAAATACCCAAGGTTCATTGTCCTCCTCCAAGAAGATTAAGAACACAAACACACATGAGGAGTGAATTTAGGAGCAGAGGTTTCATAGGCAAATGAAAGAGAAAGGAGAGCACCTCGCTCTCTCTCTTGTGAGAGAGGGGAATCCAAAAGGGAAAAGCTGGCCTGCAGCGGACGGTAGCAGATTTTGTAGGCAGGCTTGAGGAGGTGGTGTCTGATTTACATAGGGCTCACAGATTGGTTTGACAGATGTGACATTTACATAGCATGTGGGGAAGGCTGGTTGCCCCACCCTAATCTTATTAAGCAAATAGTCTTTCCACTTGGCCAGCGCCATCTTGTCTGATCCTTACTGTACACGTGGCTGGCCAAGAGAAGAGAAGATGGAGCGGCCATTTTGATCATGCCTAGTCCCAGGTAACCTTTTCCTATTGGCACAACTGCCAACATTCACCTGTGCAAACTTCCAACTTGCTCGTCTATTTCTGCAGCTTGATTTTACAGGCTGCTCTCTGTTAGAAAAGAAAATGATTTGGGGGCTGCTTTTCATTAAAAGGAAGGCCTTACCGAGGATTCCTTAACCTCACTATCTGCCTAAATAATTCCTTTTTAACTCCTATATCAATAATTTGACAACATATCTTTTTTGAGAACTCCAAAAGATGCAGTGTGCTCCTCTGTCCCATAAAGTAGGCAGAGAACTGACAAAAGCTTTAAAGGAATTGCTTTTATGTCAGAGCTTTATGAGAGAGTTAATAACAATTTCTCTGATAGATAATTTGTCCCATGTACTGTAAAACAATCATAATCTAGACTTTACTGTCCAGGCTAAGAACAGGACTAGAACCTATTGTCATAATCTCTGAAACATATAGTCATTTTCTGATATGAGCATTATCCACAAGTGCATATTTGCATGCTCTTCTTAAGAGCTTTAAGATACCCTGAGCTTTGTGAGTTATATAGAAAACTGCTGCTTGGATTATTAGACAGAGGTGATTTTCAACACCAACTAGCAAGGACTTAGACATCTCCTCTCCTTTATGAAAAAATTCTTGATTATCCCACTGTTGAACTCATAAAATATTTCCAGTTGATGTATTCATTCGGAACTAGTCATGCTCTGCCATAAATTCTTACTATATTTTTATATGTATAACCCACATGTAAGTTGATCATTCTCATAGGCAGATTTTTCTCACCCATTCAGAAGCTGGTAGGTAGTCTTTGGAGGCCTCATTGTTGCAATAAGATTCTAAACACAATTAGCATTTTCTCACTTTAGTCTTTTTTGCAAAGATTTGATAAGTTACAGGGCAGAATCACATTTTGGCATTTGATTCCCTTAATCTCAGTACGTGATTTTCCAAACTTTCTCATTCCTTGTGATTTCTTCTCTAGTTCTACACCAAATAGTGTCCAGTATCCTAGCCTCTACCCTTTTCTTTGATTTTCTCTTTATGGCAATTGTCAGCACTACCACTGCCCACTTGATTTTGCAGAATAATGTATCCAGTATCACCTTCTACCCTCAATTATCACACTCATGTCCATTTTAGTCCTCCGAAAATATGACAATAATAATAAGCAATTTCCGCTACAATGAATGATCACATCCTAGGAAACAATGAGAGTTACAAACAATTCTAAAAGATTTTTGTATATTTTACCCCCCTTGCTGGTTTGAACATCCTTCAAGGGATTGCTTTGTAATTGTCTATGTCAGTTAAAGTTTTTTGCACTAGGCACTCTAATATATGTTGTTTGGTTTATTTCCCCAGAATATATCAGCTGTGAAAATAAGTGAAAGAAAGATTTTCTTATCTCCAACATTTCTGGGAAGGGGTGTGTCTGTGGATTTTATGTTACTGGAAAGAGACAATCCAGTAGTCCACTTTGTCAGGAGTGTTTCAAACAACATCTGTGAACCCACTGGACTTCAAGCTCCTACAGGCTAGAGATTTGGTCTATTTCATCTGCATTGTGAAAGGTCCTGGAGACTGAGAATCAGGAATTACTAGACTATAATGGATGAGATTTATAAAAAATAAGATGAAGGTAAGCAGCTGTGCACAGCTGCTCTGCTATATTGGGAGGAAACTAGAACAAAGACACAAAACAAGAGTTGCAAGGGTATATGTACATGTTCTGCCTGTGTTTAAGAGCCTATCTATGTTGCATTTTGAGTTATCTTGCTGGAGGATAAGTTTGCAAGTTTGAGGCAAAAAGGCTTTGTGCTCTTGTGGTAAGATCATCAGGGAACAGCTCTCTGGAGGTGGTGCAGTGCATAAGAGAGAAACTGGCTAGTG